>NC_000001.11:53341713-53493228 GCF_000001405.40 Homo sapiens
GACACTCAGCCCCAGCCTGGGGACCCAGGGACGAGGAGACACCTCGGGAGGGCTGGGTCACTTCAGGCAATTACCTTCACCTCTCTAAGCCTCTTGAAAATGGGCAGAATGATCCCTAGGTGTCAGAGGTATGGAGAGCATCATGGGAGATGACATCCCTGAAGTGAGGCACACTGTGATCTGTGTGTCAGCATTGGCAGGCTGGGAATAGGGTGAACCTGTGAGGCACCTGGGGTGCAAGTTCTCCCTGGGTCTGGCCCTGTGCTTGGTAAATGCTGCCTTTTACTACATAAGGGACAAGTCTGTCAAGAGTGCCTGAGCAATGGCCTGCAGCCGGGCCTGGGGACAGGGCTTTCCTGGGCTGGTGATGGTCTGAAGCCCAAGTGGCAAGAAGAAAACTGGAGCCAAGAGGCCCCTTCCACTCAGGACCAGCCTCTCCCCACCCCTCACCCCATACTCCCCAGGAGCCCAATAGACACATCATTTCTCTTCCCCTCCATGAGTGAGCTCCGGCGGGGGGTGGTGGCCTGGTTTCCCAGGCCCTGCCCCTGGGACCCCCAACCTGTCTCGGAGGAGATGCCTTCCCAGCCTCAGGCCATAGCCCGCCCAGCCCACCCTGGGACTGACTCCAGCACAGACACCAGATGGCACCTCTGTGTGTGAGCCCACTGTGGGGTGTTGCGTGTTTCTGCATGACTGTACATGTGTGTGCATATCCATGTGTGGAGAGGGCTATTTCTTCATGTGGTCTTGCATGGGTAGCTGAGTCTGTGTGCGCTTGGAAGTATGCTATGAGTGTGTGTGTGTGTGTGTGTGTGTGTGTGTGTGTAAACTCCCAGATGTCAACTTGTTGCTTGTGTCACCATTAGCATGTATCTGGGTGTCCTGGTTAGAGGGTCATGTGTATGTGCCTGTGCCTTTGTGTAATTGGCCCTTGGGGTGTCTGGGTGTATCTAGATGAAGAGAGCTTTGCTATACATCTGTGTGGTTGCATACTTCTGAGTGTGTTGCTGTGCATTTGGAGGGGTTTGTGTAAAATTACTAGGTGCCTAGTCTAGGACTTGAGACAAACAAGACAATCACAGTGGTGTGTGATGCTGTGGGGCCATGGAGTTTCAGAGAAAGGGAGGACGAACCCTACCTGCAGGGAGATGGAAGTCTTTCTGGAGGAGAGTGAGAGAGCCTTCAGGCGGACGGAACCGTGGAACAGGTGCAGAAGTTGGAAAGCATGTATTGAAGCAAGGCTGGAGACGTCTCCTCACTTAAGAAGACCTGGAATGGCGGGATATAGGACAGGAGAAGTCAAAAAGTATGTTCAGTATGGTCATGGCTTCCGTGGGGCCTGCTGTGGGATCCCAGATCTAGGCTCTGGAAACTGAGAGAAAGGGACAGCCCTGGTGAGGATGGAGAACAGGCAGCATTAGCTGGACCAGCCCTGCCCCAGGTTTCTAGGGAGATGGATGGCATAGCTCCCACATCGTTCTTGGGCTGATACTTCTCTTTCCCAGGGGTGATGGCCTGTGCACCCAACCAGACCCAACCAGATCCTGTGGTGGGGCTGGAGTGAGGTGGATGGGGAGCTGTCTGGGACAGGAATCCCTGTGTCCTGCATCCTCATTGCTGGCTCTGCTGCTGACATCATAATGCTGGAGGTAGGAGAAGAGCCCATGTGGATTTCGGGTCCAGCATGCCCCATCAGGCTGGTGCTCTGCGCTCATGAGTAGTGGGTAAAAAAAACAAGGACTTGGGAGCTGAAGGCTTGGATTTAAACCCTGACTCTACCACACACTTGTCTGTGACCTTGGGCAAATCACCTAACTTGTGCTTTCAGTTTCTCTGTGCCTCAGTTTCCTGATCTATAATCAGGGGATGATAATAGCATTGATGCCCGTCAATAGTATCGATGTGCAGATTAAACTAGTAATATGTTAAAAATGCTTATAATAGCACCTTTTCCAATAACCAAAAGTGATGGAAACATTAGCTACTATGGTATTATTATTTCCTTACATTCTCACAACGACTGTATGAGGCCCACATTATTTCCTTCACTTCAATAACACAGGCTTTGGACTTACCCAGGTCTCGGTCTGAATCCTGACTCTGAATCCACCCCTAGCTGTGTGAACCCGGGAAAGCTGCTTCCCCTCTCTGCGTTTCAGAGTCCCCATGCATGGAATGAGGTTGCTGTCAGGAATGAATGGAATGATACATGCAAGGCTCTGAGCCGGGTGCCTGGGGCAGGGTACACACTTCTGACGGGTCATAAAAGGTGAGGACCCAGAACCAGTGTGGTTAAGCAGCTTGGCCAGGGTCTCAGGGCCAGTAAGGAGCAGGGCCGGGACTGGAACATGGAGGGTCTGACCAGAGGCCCAGGTGCCTCTCCCCTGCCAGGCTGCCTCTCCTCTGGGTCTTGGTGTCTCCATCTGTAAGGTGAGTTGCTACACTGAGAGGGCCTGCTGGATGGGTCAGCGAGGAGGGAGGGTGCTGGGTTCAGACTGCAGGGCTGGAAGGGAGTGGAGGAGGCCCAAACCCCCAACCCGGACCAGAATTATGGTCCCGTGACCACAGCCTTCTGCTCTACCAGAGATCTGCCCCTTCACCCAGCCCCTCACCAGAACAGGCTCCCTGGTGGAGGCCCCCAATGCCACATATTTCTCCATCTGTTCCCTACCAATCATCCTGTGAACTTGGGTGAATCTCTCAACCTCCCCAGCTTCAGCAGCCTCATCTAGGCACCACACAAGCTCACTGCTTGTGGAAGTGCCTGACTTGTGTATCAATGACTAGCACTTGCTGGGCACCTGCTGGGTGCCACGCTCTTTTCTAGGCACTTTACCTGCATTAATTAAGTTAATCATCCCACCAGCCCTGTAAGTGGCATACTGCTCCCAGGATGGGATGAGATCCTGCACCCTGGGGAGGGACAAATTAGATAATGGAAGAAAATTGCTATGAACGGGGCTGGGCACCTGGTAAATGCTACATACGTGTTTATTTTCTTGTTATTATTCTTCCCAGGACTTCCAAGTTGGTTTTTGTTTTGTTTTATTTTAGAGATGAGGTCTCACTATGTTGTTCAGGCTAGATTCAAACTCTGGGCTCAAGCAATCTCCTTGCTTCAGCTTCTTGAGTAGCTGGGGCTACAGGTGTGAGCCACCACGCTCAGCTCCGGCACTTTCAAGTTTACAAAACACCAGGACCTCCATGCTTCTTTGGGAAAGTGGGACACAGGGAGCAGGCATTATTACTCTCATTTTTGCTGCATTCATCTGTTCTCCACTCATTCATTCATCAATCCAGCATCCGTCCAAGGACCAGGCCTAGGCCAGGTGCTCTGGAGACCCTGACAAGAGGCTAGGGGCTTCTAGTTTTGCTCAGGGGCAGAAAGCCCACAGGCCTTCAGGGGCTGGGGAGTGAGACCCACTCCAGTGGGTGGTTGCCTGGCAGGGATAGGGACCCGGTGAGACCAGCTCTTCTGATTCTTCAAGAAAAGCTTTCAAGAAAATAGATCTAGATTTTTGTGTAAAATATCTTGATCTTTTATCTTTTAAATGTTTGCAACCAATTTGATAAAAACAAACAAATGGCCAGGCACAGGGGCTCACGCATGTAATCCCAGCACTTTGAGAGGCCGAGGTGGGAGAATTGCTTGGACTTCGAGACCAGCCTGGGCAACATAGTGAGACCTCATCTCTACTAAAAATAAAAAATTAGCCAGACATGGTGATGCACGCCCATAGTCTTAGCTACTCTGAAGGTTGAGTTTGGGAGATCTGGGCTGCAGTGAGCTATAATTGCACTACTGCACTCAAGCCTGGGCAACAGAGCGAGTTGCTGACTCAAACAAACAAGCAAAAAAGGGAAGAAAGAAAGCTACTGTGCAGTCTGTGTCCTGTCCGTGGAATGAATGTTTAACACCCTCCCATGGCCCTCATCACCCTGTAACCCTGACCTGGCATTCCAGATCCTTCTCTGTTTGGGCCTTGCTCTCCTCCCTTCGCCTCACCTCTTGAGGACCTTGCTCTGGGATGCCCACCATCTGTCACACCTTCTTTCCCAAGCCCGATCACACCTCCTTTCCCAAGCCCGATCACACCTCTGAGCCTTTGCATATGCTGTGCACCCTACCTTTTGTCTTTTGTCTAATATTTGAGGCCATGTACATGGGTGCTGCTCTACACACAGAGATCCAAAAGCAAGCAGAAAGGACAAAGACCCTCCCCTCAGAGAACTTACATTCTAGGGGGGAGCCAGAAAATAAAGAAATCATTAAAATCATGATAGATGGCAATAAGGACTGTGCTCAAAAACTAAAGCAGGGAATGGGGACTGGGGCTGCTGAGGCAAGGAGGATGCTGGCATTTTAAACAAGTCTGCCAGGGAAGATCTTGGTGGGCTGGGCCCAGCCCAGGACTTTCCCACTTTGGGAGAAGCCTATGCACCTGGGAGTCAAGTGGCTGAATCTGGGTCATTCCAGCAGGGCTTCCTGGAGGAGGTGTCCAATGATGGCCTTGGAGGATGAGAAGGGAGTGGTTACTATGCAGGGTATGAGGGTCCTGAGGAGAGATTCCTAGTGGAGGCTGGAAGTTAATTCACTCCTGATCTATTGGGTACCAGGCAGAGTGGGTAGGGGACAGCCCTCACCCCAAGACTGGGCCTTGAACCCAGACTATTGACCCAAGCCCCTCATTACCAGAAGCCCTTTGGCTCCCACCAGACCCCGTTCTCCTACATCAGGAACTACCGGGGCTGAGGCAGCAGGTGGCTGTGTCTGGAGCTGGTCAGGGAGAACGCACATGAGACAGGAACAAGGCCAAGTGAACGCCTGGTGACCAGATGCTCTGTGGCCTGTAGGGCAGGCAGGTGGATACAGAGGATGCTGGGCTGGGCCTTCTTAGGGGCTCTCCTACCATCCCCTGCCAACGTTTGCCAAGAAGTGCAGTTGTGGCCAAGATGCCACAGGCCACTCTTCTTTTATTTATGGATTTAATTTGTCCCATGCATCATGCTGACAGCTCGGAAGTAGGCAGCTGCAGGGGCCCTGGCCTGGCTCCTCCTTGATTCGGCCTGTGCTTAGGCTAGCTGGGCCCAGAGGTATTTCTCTGCTGCTGATTTGTGCCTGAGGCCCTAGGGGATGGGGTGGTTCAGCTGCTATTTGTGGAAGTTTCTGGGGTGTGCCAACCTGACCAAGAATCGTTCCTTATCCCTGGGCCCAGAGCAAGTTCATTGCCCCCATTTTGCAGGTATGGAAGGTGAGGCCCAAGGTGACATGGTGAGTCTGTGGCAGAGACCCTGGGACTGCTGTGTCCCAGCTGGCACTTGCCACTATCTGGTCCAGCTCGGGATTTTGTCAGCCAGGCCTCCCAGCCAGGAAGAGGGTGTTGCCTGCTCCCCATCAGTGGGAATGGGTGAAGGGAGAAGCAAACTGGGGGAGGGAGAGTGTATTCGTCTATTCTAACTCTGCTATAAGGACATACTGGAGACTGTGTAATTTATAAAAGAAAGGAGGTTTTTTTTGTTGTTGTTTGTTTCTGTTTTTGTTTTTGTTTTTGTTTTGAGACGGAGTCTCGCTCTGTTGCCCAGGCTGGAGTGCAGTGGTGTGATCTCAGCTCACTCAACCTCCGCCTCCTGCGTTCAAGCGATTCTCCTGCCTTAGCCTGCCGAGTAGCTGGGATTACAGGCATGCGCCACCACGCTCAGCTAATTTTTTTTGTGTGTGTATTTTTAGTAGAGGAGGTTTTGCCGTATTGGCCAGGGTGGTCTTGAACTCCTGACCTCAAGTGATCCGCCCGCCTTAGCCTCCCAAAGTGCTGGGATTACAGGCATGAGCCACTGTGCCCGGCCTATAAAGGAAAGTTTAATGGGCTCACAGTTCCACATGGCTGGGGAGGCCTCACAATCATGGCAGAAGGTGAAGGAGGAGCACATTTTCAACTTTTCTGTGTCACTGAGAAATTTCAGGGTACAAAGTTCGTTGGGGGAGATAAAACTGAGGAGATGCCCCTGTTGAACTCCTATTTAAAGACAGTTCCCCTTTTTCCAGCTCTTGGTAGCAGAACATAGTGGGTAAAAGTGCAGGCTTTGGGGTCCAGCTACCTTGATGTGGCTCCTGGCTGTGGCCTTGAACCAGTTACTTAACCGGCCTCCATTTCTTCACCTAAAAAGTGGAGATAATGACGTACATACTACCCCATCAGGTGTTTGGGAGGCTGTGATGGGAATATATGTAAGTCGTCAGAATGGAGCCCACACAAGGCGGGTGCTCCATAAATGTGGGCTGCGCCATGGTTGGCCCATTCTTTGGCGAGCTCTCAGCAGGGTCATTAACATGGGCCATGGAGAATAGCCACGTGGCACCTGGTGATGGCCCAGCACTGCGAGGGGGTTGAATTGTCTCCTCTTATTCCTAGACACACACACACACACACACACACACACACACACACACACACACACACACACACCCAGCCAACTCTGCACAGACTGCATTTTTGTAATGTCAGATTTATTACGGCTTGTATAGGGCTGTTAATTCTTTATTTTAATTTTTAAAATTTAATAACATTGTGTTGTTTTCACTGTTCATTTTTAAGATTAAAGTCTACTTGAGGCAAGTCATACTGGTTTTCCATTTGTAGAAATAATGAAACGTTTCCTTTTAAAATAAAGTTTAAGAAGTGAGTTGATCTCTGAACTACCTTCACAGTATTTCTGTGTATCTAAAACTGTCCTAAACTAAATAGTTACTTAAAAAATACCCAGGTTCATTTTTTTTTAAAGCTTTTAGAGAAAAGTGAGTTGATTAAAGGGAGGTATGAAGTAAATGCTGGCGAATGCTGCTTCGCTGGGAACTGGTTTCATCCTGCTTTCCTCCCAGCCCTGATGGACTGTTCACAAGAGAGGGCATGGGGAGGCTGGAGAGGGGAGAGGAGGAAGTGTGGGTGACAAAGCCCAGAGCTCTTTGGGAGTGGGGGCAGGGTGTCTCCCAGGGTCCCTCTCATAGGTGTGACAGAGTGAGTTTAATGACAGGTGAAGGGATGGTTAAATTCCCCGAGACAGCAACAGTGGGGAGCAGTTACTACCCCTGGACCCGCAGGGCAAAGCGGGCAGCGGTCCTGGAGCCACGTGAGGGCTGAGGCAGTGGAAGAGGGCCAGTGGCCTTCGGTACAGGAACACAACTGGCTCAGCAGGGACGGCACCAGGGAGTGAACCTGCCAGCCTCTCTCTCCTTCCCACCCCCAGAGCTCCTGCTGCTCCTTCCTGCTGAGCAAACCCACCAGAAGCCAGAGGCCAGGGAGCTCGTGTGAGGCATCAGTCCACAGAGCAGAGGCAGAGAACGCAGCTGCAGGGCCGGCGGAGAGGACCTAGTCCTGGCAGGTGGGGCTGGGAGGGCAGAAGCTCTGCAGATCTGTGGGAAGAGCCTGGAAGCCAGAGTCAGCTGTCTTGTGTCACACCTACTGTGTGCCACAGGATGCGCCGCTTCTCCTCCCAAGCCTTGGTTTCCTCATCTGTCCTCTGGGGCAGCCGACGGCTCCCCCTAGGAGTGCAGAGAAGCCGCCATGGGTCAATGTAGGGTATGTGTAAGCCCTGGGCACGCGGTAGGCTTGCTGGTCAAACAGAATACCGTCTGCCCTTTCCAAGAGAGGACAGAGCCCCTCCTGTCTCCTCACAGTCACTGGTGGGGTGCCGCACTCTGCCAACTTCCTCTAAGCCACTTTGGGGGTAGTAATGTCCCCTGCACAGGTCCCTGTTGGTTTGGCCACCACCAGTTTGCTCAAACCAGGCCTCCGGCCTGCAATGCCAGGATGCTCCTTGGTGTCTCTAATCCTACCACACACACTGAGTCTCACCTTGTTACCCCATCAAGCTACAGAGGAGGAGCCCAAGGTCTCAGGAGGGAAGTGGCTAGTCCAAAGTTGCTACAAGCCAGTGGCCGGTCAGTGGGACTGCCAGGGGCTGGTTTGGTCAGAACATTGCCGGGGAGGCCCTTCCCCTAGACCTGGCCTGGTTCCTGGCCTGAGGGGCCTCCCCGGGAGGCAAGAGAACCCTGGTCAAGGCTTCTGGATCCTTTATTTTCCAACCTCATTAAACACCTGCAGATCCATTTGCTACCTAATAATACGGAGGGAGCACCAGGGAATTTTTGAAGGAAAAAAAATCATTCAAATTGAAGAAAGAAATAAACACAGGCTTGCAGGAGTGCAAGTGCCCTGGGGAGTTCCAGTGATTTCAATACCCACCCATCTCTAACAGTAGCCCCCACCCCCATTTCTTTACAAATAGCTGATGGCCTCTTGGCCTTGAGTAAAGAAATTACAAAAGTACCTCCAAGCCCCTCCTTCCTCCCATGTCCTCCCTTGGCCCAGCAGGGAAAGTCCTGGCTCCAATCCCTGACTGTGCTGACTGGCTGTGTGGTCTTGAGCGCATGACTGCCCTCTCTGGGCCTCAGTCTTTCCCACCTGTGTAAAGGAATAATGGTCCTTCTCCTATTCTCATCCTGCTGGTCTAGGAGAAAACACCTGGCCCCAGCCATTCTTCTCTCTCTCTCTCTCTCTCTCTCCTCACCTTCCGACAGCCCCACCATGCTCCAGCCACACTGAACTTCCTGCCACTCCCCAAATATATCAGATGAGTTAGGGAAGGTGCGTCAATTGGATTTTGTTGTGTAATAAACTGCCTCCCAGTTGCACCTGTTGGTTTAAAACAATAAGCATTTATGGTTCCACTGGGCAGTTGTGTTGATGTCACTGTGTTTATTGTTGCACCTGAGTCAGGATGTCCCATCTGTGACAGGTTGATTACACACTTGGCCCCAGGTCTCCACCCTCCTCCCATATCTGTGACCCTTGCAGTGTGACTTCACAGTTCCTCCATCAAGCGGGTGGTGGTGGGGTGCCATTTTCCTACCCCTCCATCTGGGCTGGCCTTATGATTTGCTTTGACCAACGGAATGTGGCAGCAGCGATGACAGGCCAGTTCTCAGCCTCAGCTGTAAGAAAGAGGCCCTACATGCTTCTTTTCACTGTCCTGGCCCATCACTGCTGCCATGAGAATGACTGGGCTTGGCTGCTGGAGAATGAGAGACCCCATGGAGGGAGGCCTCAGCCACCGCAGCCCAGGCCCACCCAGACCTGACAGCCCCTAGTCAACCAGGGTCACCGAATTGTCTCAGTTTGCCCAGGATTAAGGTTTCTCCTGGGACATGGGTCTTTCAGGGCTATCACTGGGACAGTCCTAGGAAAATCAGGATGTTTGATCACCCTAAGCTGACCCACCTGCTGACTCAGGTAGAGGAACAAATCCTGCTGAGATCAAAAGAACTGCCCTGCTGGCCTGTAAATGCCGATTGTTTTAAAGCAACTACTGCATTTGGAAGGTGACTTGTTATACAGCAAAATCTTCCTCATACACCTCCATCTCTGTGTGAAGAACTCAGAGTTGCTGCCTATGGCTGTGCAGGTTGTGCACTGCACAACTGCAGGGAGACCCAGTCCCAGAGAACACATTGTGAATGGCACTGCTTAGGATTGTGCAGGATGGAAGTCCTAGATAAACTCAGCCAGGCTCCAGTTCAAATGTCGCCTCCTCTGTGAAGTCTTCCCAGACTCCCCTGGATCTAATTTACTGGGGGAAAAGGAACCTCCTGTGCTAAAAAGAGCACAGGTTTTAGAGTCAGACAGGCCTGGTTCAGAGGCCCTGCTGCTTACACACCGGGCCAGTCATTTGAACCTCACAGAGACTAGGAATGGCTGCAGCTGCCATTCTTGGGGTTGTGATGAGGAGAGAGCACAGGGACAGTGCCTGGCAGACAGTGTGTGTTTCACAGAAGCATCAAGCCCAGGCGCCTCCCCACACAGCCCCGAACCCTCTTCTCTCTGTTCCCGCTGCTGTGGTTCCTTCCCTGGCTCCAAGACTTTCTTCCTCCACAAAATGCAGTCACTTCCTTGCTGGTGTCCCATCCCCCAGGCTTGCGCTGTATTATGTATTGAGGCCAAAGGGACTTTCTCTTTTTTAATTTTTAAAAAATTATGTAGTAAAATTTATTTTTTTCTTTTGATGTACAATCCTATGAATTCTAACTCATGTACAAACGTATGTAACCACCACCATAATCAGAACACAAGGGACTTTCTTTTCAAAGTATGTCTTTTTTGATACTAAAATTTTGGAATAGATAACATATACTTTGTAAAAAAAAATACGTAAAAGTATAAAAGTTACTCGGTAAGAACTGTGTCTCCCACTGCTGGTTACTCCTCAGATGCAATTTGTAGTTTTTAGTTTTGACAACTGTATACACGTGTAACTATTCAAAATAAAACAGAGAATATTTCCATCATTCCAGAAGATTCCCTCATGCTCCTTCCTGGTCAGTCTCCACTCCCATCATCCCAGAGGCAACAACTGAGATTTTTCATCACAGATTTGTTTTGCTTGTTCTAAAATGTACCCTTCTAGAGATATTTCATGCCTATACAAGCATAAGTATGTAGAACTATCCTGAAGACTCCAATTTTATATCACTGAAACCATATCTTGTTTTTTTGTACTTAATATATTTTGGAAATTGTTTTAGATCAGTAACAATTGCAGCCTACACACACGGTCCTTACCATAGACCACTGATCTAAATGCTTTGTGTATATTTGCTTATTTAATTTTCAGCACAGTTTTGAGGTAGGTGACATTATTGTTATTATTGTTGTTGCTGCTGTTATTATACTATCATCATTATCATTCTTACCAGTCCCATTTTAGAGATAACAAAAACTGAGGCACAGAGAGATTAGGTTAGGGAACTGGCTCTAGGTCACACAGTCAGTAAATGGCAGAGCTGGGGTTAGGAGCCAGGCATCCTAGCTCCAGAGTCTGTGTTCTGAGGGACCACATTCAACTGCTCTGGTGTACTTCAAGCAATCTCAAGGAATTCCATTATATCAAGACACAGTCATTTATTTAACCAGCATCCTCCTGATGGCTATTATTTGCCACTGTGAACAGGGATGCAATGGATATCTCTGTCATTCATCTTTCTGGACATGTGGAAGTGTATCTGTTGAATTAATTCCTGGAAGCTGAATGCCTGGGTCACAGGGTGAGTGCAATTTTGTATTTGATAGATATCGCCAGAATGTCCTCCCAAGAGTTATCAATTTATATTCCCATTAACAAGGCAGGAGAGAGTTTACTGCCCTCCACTCTTACCAACATAAGATATTATCAAAATTTTTTATCTGTGTTATCTAGCTGGGGAAAATTGTAACTTCATGTCATTTGTATTGGCATCTTCTCTTATTGTAATTTAGGGGGACATCTTTTCATGTATTTGGAAGCCATTTGCATATACTTTCTGTGAGCCATCTGTCCATGCCCTGTGCCCATTTTTTTCTTGGGTTATTAATCTTTAAAAAAAGAGTGGTCTCTCTTTATATAATAGTTTATTCATTTTCTTTCCATTTTATTTGTGGTATTCCCCTCCCCCCCCCAATCAGATGTGGTTAATTTTAGTGTGATCATATTTATCTTTTTTTTTTTTTTTTTTTTACGACTTCTGGGTTTGAATTATTTTGAGAAAGGCCTTCGCCTTTCCGGACAAAGAACAACAAAAGAATGAAACATGTTTGCTTCAGTACTTTCGTGGTTTCATTTATTTATCTTTCGATCTTTGATCCATTCAAAATTAATGTCGGTGTAAGAAGTGATATGCAGTCTCAACCTACTTTTTTCCAGTCACCTAAATATCATTATTAAATAATCCATTTTTACCCACTCATTAGAAAAACTACATTCTCATATGTGTTTGTGTCTAATTCTGGATTCTTTATTTCTTGTTATCTTCCTAGCTCTTCTTTTAGTTTTTATTGTGGTCTATTTTAGATATAAAAAATGCATAGATTTTCAAGTGTTTGGTTTGGTAAGTGTTGGCAATCATATACACGTGTAACTATTTAAAATAAAACATAAAACATTTCCATCATTCCAGAAGATTCCCTCATGCTCCTTCCTGGTCAGTCTCCACTCCCATCATCCCAGAGGCAACAATTGAGGTTTTTCATCACAGATTTGTTTGGCTTGTTCTAAAATTTCATCCAGGTTGTTCTGTGAAGCAACAGTTTGCTCCTTTTGATTGCTCCACGATGTTTCATTACATGCATAATCCAGTCTCTTTAGCCAGTTTCCTACCAATAGACACATGGACCGTTTCCAGTTTTGGACAACTATGAATAAAGCCGTTATGAACATTCTTATACAAATCTTTTTGTGAACGTATTTTTTCATTTCTCTTGGTGTAACTGCTATTTTTTTCATTTCTCTTGGTGGAGGGTAGGTGTTAACACAGCACTTTTGTCTCTTTATTTCTTCCCAATACTTATACCCCTATTTTTTGTGAAATTATAGAGGCTAATATCTCCAAAGTAATGTCACATAAGAAACTATCAGACTTAAAAAAAATGGTTGTACCATTTTCTATTCCTGCCAACAGTATATAAGAATTCCAACTGATCTACAGCATTTGCTATATTTGTGGGGTTGTCAATCTTTTCAATTTTAACTATTCTGGTGGTTGGGTGGTTGTATCTTATTGTGGTTTAATTTGTATTTACATGATGACTAATGGTGTTGAGCATTTCTTCATTTGCCTATTGGCCATTTGCATAACTTTTGTGAAGTGTCCATGAAAATCTTTGGCCTAACTTAAAAATTAGGTTGTTTATCTTTTTAATTATTGAGTTGTAGGAGTACTTGATATATCCTGGATACCAGTCCTTTGTCTCACACACACACACACACAGACATACACGTATTTATGTTTTGTGAATATTTTCTACCAATCTGTAACTCACCTATTCATTCTCTCTCTCTCACACACACACACGCACACTATTTTTTTTTTTTTTTTTTTTTGAGATAGGGTCACCCAGGCTGGAGTGCAGTGGTGTAATCATGGTTCACTGCAGCTTTGACCTCCTGGGCTTAAGCAATCTTCCCACCTCAGCCTCCAGAGTAGCTGAGACCACCAACACATGCCACCACATCCTGCTAATTTTTTTTTTTTTTTTTGTAGAGATGGGGGTCTCACTATGTTGCTTAGGTTGGTCTTGCACTCCCGGGCTCAAGCGATAATACCGCTTTTGCATCCCAAAGTCATTTTTTCAATGATGTCTTTTGATGGCAGAAGTGTCTAATTTCAAAATTTATAAATTGTTTTCTTTTATGGTTATTTTATGTCCTGACTTCTAAGAAATCTTTGCTTACCTCAGCGTCCCAAAAACATTCTATTTTTTACCTAGAAATTTTATGATTATGGCTTTTTCATTTATTTCTACGATCCATATAAATTAATGTTTGTGTTTGGAGTGAGATAAGGACTTTAACATTTTCCCATGTCGATATACAGTTGTTCCAACACCATTTGTTCAAAAAGAAGTTCCTTCCCCGGTAAATTGTTTTGGTCCTTTGGTTGAAACTCAACCATATACATGAGATCTATTTCTGAATTTTACGTTCTGTTCCTTTGTTCTATTTGCATATGCTTACATTGATATCACATTGTCTTGATTACTGTAGCTTTATAGTAAGTCGTTAAGTCAGGCAGTGTTCTTCAAACTTGTTCTTCATTTTCAAGATTGTTTTAGCTATTCTGGATGCTTAAATTCTCACGTAAATTTTCAGATCAACTTGTCTACTTCTTTAAAAGGGCCTACTCTTACTATAATAGGGATTGTGTTGAATCGATAGGTCATTTTGGGGAGAATGGACATCTTAACCATATCAAGTCTTCTCTTAGCCATATTTTTAGACACGTTTACATATATTTTATTTGCTGTTTCTAGTATTTGATATTTTCTGATGACAATGTAAATGATATTTTAAAATTTCAATTGTTTTTTTCTAGTATATAGAAATAAAATTGATTTTTATAAACTCACCTCATATCCTGCAAACTTGCTAAATTTATTTACTAGTTCTAGGAATTCTTCATAAATTCCACAGTTTTCTGATTGAACAATATATCATCTGCAAATTCCACATTTTAACTCATTCCTTTCCAACGTTTGTGTTTTTTATTTTGGTTTTTTTGAGGCAGGGTCTCGGTCTGCCACTCTCTGTCACCCAAGCTACAGTGCTGTGGCATGATCATGGCTCACTGTAACCTCAACCTCCTTGGCTCAAGTGATCCTCCCCCCTCAGCCATCCGAGTAGCTAATTATCATTAGCCAGGCTACTGTGTGTGTGTGTGTGTGTGTGTGTGTGTATGTGTGTGTGTTTAGAAACAAGGTCTCACTATGTTGCCTAGGCTGGTCTTGAACTCCTGGCCTCAAGTGATCCTCCTGCCTTGGCCTCCCAAAGTGCTGGGATTACAGGTGTGAGCCACCATGCTTGGCCCCTTTTATTTATCTTACTTTAATGCACTAAAACTTCCAACTCAACGTCAAATACACATTCTTGCCTCATTGCTGAACTTAGGAAAAAAAGATTAAATGTTTCACCATTAAGCATGATGTTAGCTGTAGATGGCCTTTATCAGTTCGAGTAATTTACTATCTACTTCTAGTTTGCTGACAGTTTTTTTATAATGAATAGATTTAGAATTTTGCCAAATGATTTTTCTGCACCTATAGAAATAATCACGTGAATTTTCTCCTTTATTTTGTTAATATGGTGAATTACATTCATTTCTGAATGTTAAACTAATCTTGCACTTCTGGAACGAATCTCACTTGGTTATGATGTATTATTCCTTTAATATATTGCAGGATTCAATTTACTAATATTTTGTTACAAGTTTTCACATCTCTATTCATGAGGAATATTTGTCTGCACTTCCTTTTCTTGTAGTATCTTTACTGGGTTTTGATATCAGGATTATACTGGTCTCCTAAAATGAGTTAGGAAGTGTTCATATTATTTTCTCTATAAATGACAAAAACTGGCATTTATTGCTGATTTTTAAAAGCTCTATTTTCTGAAATAGTTTGTGTAGAATTAGTATTATTTCTTCCTTCCTTAAAAGTTTAATAGAATTCACCAGCAAAGACCATCTGGACCTGGAGTTTTCTTTGTGGGAAGGGTTTTTATTGTAAATTTTGTTTCTTTAGTAGATATAGGACTATTTGGGTTCTCTATTTCTTCTTTTGTCAGTTTTGCTAGAGTTGCATTTTTAAGGAATTGTCCATTTCATCTAAGTTGTCAAAATTTGCATAAAATTATCTATAATGTTCCCCAGCTATCCTTGAATGTTTTTCATGTGACCTTTAGAATCTGTCAATTTTCCCATGACAAAAAGTGCTTCAACTCAATTCTTCTATTTCTTAAGCAACCAGATAGACTACATATCCTAGCCTTTCTTGTAATTAAATGTGGTCATATGATTGATTGAATTCTAGCCAATGGAATGTGAGTGGAAGTGATGTGTATCACTTCTAGGACTGGCCTTAAAAACCTTCAATGTTTGGTCATTCATGTTCCTCTACCAGCTGGAGGCAGATGAGCACAGTCACCTTGGAAACCATGTGTTGAAAACAAGAGAGACACAGGATTAAAGAAATCTGAATAGGAGAGGGGAAGTAAAGAGAGAAAGGGAGGGAGAGAAAGAAACAGAGAGAGAAAAACCTGCCAATCAGGAATATCTATTTTGAACTTCACATAAGCTAAAATTAAATATCTACCATATTCTAGCCATTATATATTGAGGAAGAACTCTATTTTCATTTTTATTGGAATCATTCTAAATGTATACATTAATTTAGGGAACTGATTTTGTTAAAATACTATCTTCCTTTCCAAAATAGGACACCTCTTTCTATTTATTCTTATTGTGTTTTAGGTGTCCAGTAACATTAAAATTTTTTTATATAGATCTTGCATGTTTCCTATTAAATGTGTTGCAAGATATTTTATAATTTTTGCTACTTTTATAGATGGAATCTTTATCTTTTCTAACTCATTGTCATATAAGAAAGTTATTAATTTTTATATTTTAATTTTTACCCATTTATCACACCAAATCATCTTATTTGTAATAGTTTTTTAAGGTTTTTCAAGTGTATAATCATATCATATGCAAATAACACAGCACTTTTGTCTCTTTATTTCTTTCCAATACTTATACCTCTCTTTTTTGTGAAATTATAGTGGCTGATATCTCCAAAGTAATGTCAACTAAGGCTGGTGAAAGGGGACATCCTTGTCCTGCTCACAAATTTGTTGGGAATCCTTCAAATTTTTCATCATTATGCAAATGGATGGCATTTGCTTTGATATTGTCTCATTAAGGAAATATCCACCTATTTCTATTTTATCAAGAAGTTTTTAAAAATCAGGAATGGATGTTGAATTTTATCAAATGCCTTTTTGATATCTATAGGGAAAATAACATGATTTTCCCCTCTTTTGATGTACTATATTTACATGACATTTATATTAATATTACATTATTGATTGTAATGTAATGTAATGTAATGTAAAATCAACTAAATTAGTTGATTTTCTAAAATTGAACCATCCTTGCATTTCTGGTATAAACTCCAAAGGTTTGTTACAACAGTAAGCTATTTCCTTAATATGTGTCTGTATTTTAAAGTATATTCCTAAAACTATTTCTTTACTTAGGATAGTTGCAACCTCAATGTTAATGTGAGCTGACTTATTGTGTTCTATTCTGTGCTTTCTTGCATTTTGCTATCAATGTTAAATGGCATTCATGAAAAATAACTGGAAGCTCTTCTATGCTCTGGAACCACTTATGTAGCATTGGAGATATCTATTTCTAAAAGGCTTTGAAGAATTTACTTGTGAATCTTTAAAGTATAGTGGTTTTGGGGACTTGCAAAATGAAGATATTCTGATATTCCTTTATCATGTGTTACCTAGAATATCTCTATCAAGGGAAATTTCTCTTTATCAACTATTAGTTTACCACAAGGTAAACAACTTTGTAAACAATTTGCTTAACAATTTTCTTTGTTTATATTACACTATTTGGTCCTTTGAGATTTTCTTTCAGAAAAGGCAAATTTAATCCCATCACATACTTGTTTAGACTGGAACACCTGCAGTGACTATGCCTCATGGTAAACTAATAGTTGAAAAAGAGAAATTTCCCTTGATAGAGATATTTTAGCTAACAAATGATAAAGAAATATCAGAATATCTTCATTTTGCAAGCCCTAGTTAAATAATGGGAAAATGGATCTAGTCAATGTTCTTAAATAGCAGCTAATATCACAAAATGAGGACAACCTCACATTTAATTCCTCCTGATAGAAGTTCACAATACTGTCTATGAATTACTTTTGCTATACATTCAAGCCTCTAGATCTAACTCTGGTTGCCAGGAGCCAGTCTCATGGACAAGTGTGGAGAGGTTCTCAAGCCCTTTTTTTTGCTCCTTGTGAGCCTCTCCCAGCCCGATCCCACCTTGCACAGATGAGAAAACTGAGACTTGGTAAAGAAGTCACCTGCCCACTTTTTAGCTGTGTGTCCTTGGACAGGGAATTTAGTCTCTCTGAGCTTGATGTCATATTACACACTCAAGACAAACCATAATGCCTACCCCAGTGGCCCCTGACATGTGCATGCTCACCGATGTTTGTTCCTCTTTCCAAAAAGAACAAAAAGACCCATCCTAGATCAATGCACTCAGCCTGCCACTCCCTCTATTAGCTGGGGTATAGGCTGGGGTAAGTCCTTTCCTATTGCCAGCCTCAGTGTTTCCATCTGCCAAATGAGTGTTTCTGGGAGCTTGATCATCACTGCCTTCCTCTCTTGTAACTCTGTCCTGGGACCTGGGTAGTGTAAGCACCCAAACAAGAGATGGCAGACCCTTGGGCTTCTGGGCCTGCTGTCACCCTGTGCAGTGGGGGGCTGCCTGCTGGAACGGAGATTTCTGCAGATCCTTGGACCAAGTTGGGCCAGGAATTAGTCAGCAGGACAAATTATGTGAGACAGATCCTTGATTATCTCCTTCTGCCGCCCCATGTTTGACCCCATGGCCTTCCTGCAGCTGAGCTCCTCTCTGCTTCTTGCAGCCCAGAATAGAGCCCCTTCCTGCGTATAGCTGCCCCAGAGTGTCCAGCCTGCCCCCATCCAGAGCTCCCTGGCCCAGAGGACAAAGGCCAAGGGCTTCAGCCTGGTTGCTGTCCACCCAGGGACCCCTGTCAGGACCTCTGGACTCCTAGGTCCTGTATGGAGATCCCAGACCCTCCTTGTCCAGCCCTCCTCTACCTCTTTGCTCAGGCTGTTCTGCACACCTGCAACAGGTACCCTGAAGAGAATAACGTTTGACCTTGAAAGACAGCTCATCTGTCTACCTCCTCTACCTCCTCCAGGAAGTCTCCCATGACTGCCCTACCCACAAAGACCTCTCCCTCCACTGAGTTCCCTGTGTGTCTCACTCCGTGTGTATCTCAGTGACTAGACAGTGAGGGCCATGAGGGTAGGGGCAGGACATGACTCAGCCCAAGGACCTGGGAGGCAGTTTGGGCCAGAACTAGGTTTAAATTGCACATCAGCCATCTTTAAGCATTTTGACCTCTCTGAGCTGTAGTTTCTCATCTGTACAATGGGAATAATGTCAATTATCTGTTCCAGAAGTACAACTCCTTCTGTCTGGAAGGACAGGAACCAACACTTATCAGCAAAGATGTGGGCCCAGAGTCCAGAGCCCAGAGCCCAGAACCTGGCCCCGGATATTAATCTACTAATTCTCACCCTGTCACAGAGCTTTACAGCTGCTCTCTGCGGAATCCCCTTATCGCCTTAATCTGCCTTAGACCTCACTTTTTTTCCAATAAAGGGAGGGGCCATCCCATCCTGGAGTGGGTGTAGGGTCCAGCCCCACAGGGTTGGTGGGTCTCTCCCTGTGTGTGGCGATGAGAGAGTGTAGAAATAAAGACACAAGACAGAGATAAAGAAAAGACAGCTGGGCCCCGGGGACCACTACCACCAATGCGCGGAGACCGGTAGTGGCCCCGAATGTCTGGCTGCACTGTTATTTATTGGATACAAAGCAAAAGGGGCAGGGTAAAGAGTGTGAGTCATCTCCAATGATAGGTAAGGTCACGTGGGTCACATGTCCACTGGACAGGGGGCTGGCCCTTCCCTGCCTGGTAGCCGAGGCAGAGAGAGAGAGGAGACAAAGAGAAAGACAGCTTACGCCATTATTTCTGCATATCAGAGACTTTTAGTACTTTCACTAATTTACTACTGCTATCTAGAAGGCAGAGCCAGGTGTACAGGATGGAACATGAAGGTGGACTAGGAGCGTGACCACTGAAGCACAGCATCCCAGGGAGACGGTTAGGCCTCTAGATAACTGCGGGCGAGCCTGACTAATGTCAGGCCCTCTACAAGAGGTGGAGGAGCAGAGTCTTCTCTAAACTCCCCTGGGGAAAGGGAGACTCCCTTTCCCGGTCTGCTAAGTAGCGGGTGTTGTTCCATGACACTTTTCGCTACTGCTAGACCACGGTCCGCCTGGCAATGGGCGTCTTCCCAGACGCTGGCGTCACCGCTAGACCAAGGAGCCCTTCTGGTGGCCCTGTCTGGGCATAACAGAAGGCTCGCACTCTTGTCTTCTGGTCACTTCTCACTGTGTCCCCTCAGCTCCTATCTCCGTATGGCCTGGTTTTTCCTAGGTTATGATTATAGAGCGAGGATTATTATAATATTGGAATAAAGAGTAATTGCTACAAACTAATGATTAATGATATTCATATATAATCATATCTAAGATCTATATCTGGTATAACTATTCTTGTTTTATATTTTATTATACTGGAACAGCTCGTGTCCTCGGTCTCTTGCCTTGGCGCCTGGGTGGCTTGCCGCCCACACGTGGGGAACCAGAGAATGGGAAGGCCTGGCTGTGGGTCCTGATTGGACCTGGGTGAACCCAGAAGGAAGTGCTGAGTCTGGGAGCTTCCCCTGGCTGTGCGCAGGGAGTCAGAGTGGGAGGGGCTTCCAAGCTGCCCTAAATGTCCTAGCCAGAAGACATACACTCTGTCACTCACAAAATACCCACAGGCCTGTGCCAGGTGCTGCAGACTCTGGGGGAGTCCCTCAGGAAGCCCACAGACTGCTAGAGATGATGCCTCCCAGTGCCATCTAGGGACACCCAGGGTCTGTAGGACACCCAGGAGCCCCTGGCCTAACCTGGAGCCTAGGAGGGCTTTTCTTCCAGGGCAGATGGGGTGCTGGGTTCTAGGGGGTGACTGGGGCCATGGGGTGGAGGAAGGAGGAGGCCAGCACTAAGCGGCACTGAGGGCGAGGCCGGCTGCCAGGGCCTGCGATCTGTGCAACTGCACAAGACTCTGCATTCGGAAGGGTTTAATGCTCTGCAGGCATCATCCTGAAATGCTTGATAATTTTTTAACAAGGAGCGCTACATTTTCATTTTACACTGGATCTCATAAATTATGTACCAGCGTTGTAGGGAGTGGGGGTGAGCCTGTCACCAAAGGGGGCTGGGAAAATAGCCTCCCACAAAGAAAGGGCAGAATTCGAGGTCAGGAGTAAGTCCTTGACAAATGCGTATGACCCTAGACAAGTCCCTTTCCTCACACAGGCTGCTTCCCCTTAGGATCAGTGAGGGGCAATCAGGTGGAGAGATTTAAAAGCATTAGAATGGGATAGGGAAGGGAAGAGTAGGCAAATTCAGCACAGAGGTGGTTCCTGGCCCCTTTTCTGCTCCACCCCATTGTCCCGTCCCTCCTGGGCCCTCCTGGGAGCTAATCTGATTATAGAATCCTGTGGAATGTGCTGATGGTGCCAATGGGTTCCTTGTTCTCCCTGCAAACACCCTATTTACATTGTTCTGGGGTCTTCATTCCTCTGAGGAGCTGGTCGCCATCCTGGAGGAACTCCAGTCCCCTACAGGGTGGTGGGACTGTGCCCCCTCCCACTGCCTCCCTCACAGCTGACCCTTTCATAGAAAATCAAGCTCTTTCAAGATCTGCTCCTGCCTGGGTATAATGCTGTGGCCCAAGGCCCTCCAGTCCCGAGGCTAGTCCCTGTAAGCTTTGATAAGACACCCCCTCCATTCTCCTTCACCCAGCCTGAGACCCTGTGTCCCTAGGCTGCCTTACAGGGCCAGATCACACACCCACGAGTCCGTGGGTCCCAGAGCAGTGACCCTGACAACTCTGAAGAACTGGGGGAGGCCCAGCGCCTCTGATGTGTGCCCCCAACAAAAGCCATCTAGGGCCCATTTTACACTCAGACAGAGGCCTGTGTGCCTGAGCGGGGTGGGTGAACTCAAAGGGTCACCGTAGTTAAAGGGTCTGGCATGGGAAACTAGGCCTTTTGGGATCCAAGCTGCAGCCCAATATCTCAACCCCACCACCACCAACAGATTGCGGGGCTGTGTGTGAAGCAGGTAGCCCACTCCACCTGAAATAGACCCCAGTGGTACTCTCACCCTCCCGCAAACCTGCTTCTCCTCTGTCCCCACCTCCAAGGGACCCTTCATCCCTCAGGCACCCAAGCCAGGAATCTGGATATCAACCTAGACCCCTCCCTCTGGGTACTGAGTCCCCTCTACTCTTCCCTACCTGGCTGTCACCCAGGAGGCTGCTTTGCATGGGCAAGTTCTGTGGTTTCCAGTTGGGTTTGGCCAACGGGAGGTACCATCTCCAACAGGAGATGGGGAAGCAGGAGTGAGGTTGGGGTGTCTGCTCCAGGCCCCCTACTTCCAGGCCATGGGTAGGCTGGTCCCTCCTGTCAAGCACCTTCTCCCACAGCCACCCTGTCTGGTTCCGGCGGCCTTGCCCTCCCTCTGCCTGGGGGTGGTGACATCTCCCACATGTGGCCAGCCCAGGTGCTGCACCATCCCTTGTTAGTTTCCCTTAACATGTCCCGGCTTTAGTCACAAGTACCTTGGTTACTCTTCTCCATTCCCCATCTGGAGTGCACCATCTGCTTCCTGCCAGGGCCCTGTGGGAAACACCCTCTGCCCCCACCCCATTCCCACCAAGAAATACCCAGTCCTCTCGATTCTGCTTCCTAAGTAACTCCCCAACCCACCTTCTTCTCCTGTGTCCCAGGTGCCATATAAACACCCTGGATGCTCCTAATGGGTCTCTCCACTCCACCCTGGATCCCCCACCTCACCCTTCACAAGCACCCACGGGAGGTTTCTTCAAATGCAAAACTTCAAAGAAATATTTTTAATATTAAAGACATTTTATCATGAAAGCAATACTTGCTTATTGTGCAAAATGTCAAACACTACAGAGAGGTATAAAATGAGAAGTAGAAATGCCCTCCTCCCCAGTCCCCACCCTTACTCCCAGGGTCCCTTTCCGTAGAGCCGCCAAGTTCTGGTTCCTTGTGGGTCCCGCTATGCACCTTCCATCCATATGTGCACATACCAATGTGCAGCTCTTTTTATTCATGTAGTGGATTCGGATCACACATATAATATGCCTGTGACGACTTTTGCACTTGTAACCTATCTTGGAGAACTTCACATGTCCACACTTGTAGATTTAACTCCTCTTTGATGGCTACTTAGTATTTCATGATACAGATCTCCCAGTTTTCCCATCCATTGCCCTATAAATGACCATTCGGTTCTTTTCACAGTTTAGTTGGCTACCAACAGTGCCACCACTGGAATTCTGTCCAGGTATCGCTCTGCCTGTGGGTGGACATTTCTGCAGGATTGACTTGCTGGGTCAAAGGGTATATGCATGTAACATTTGAAGGATGTGTCAAATTGTCCCCCTAAAACACTGCTCCAAACTACACTTGCACCAACAGAATATAAGGGTGTCTGTCTACTTCCCCACATTTTGTCAACACTGGGTTTTAAGAAGATAATCTTACCATGCAAATTTCCTGCTTAAAACCCCTCACACCTCAAGGAGTTGGAGCATAGTGGGTGGGTACAGTGGCTCACACCTGTAATCCCAGCACTGTGGGAGGCCCAGGCGGGCGGATCACGAGGTCAAGAGATCGAGACCATCCTGGTCAACATAGTGAAACCTCATCTCTACTAAAAATACAAAAATTAGCTGGGCGTGGTGGGAGGCACCTATAGTCCCCGCTCCTCAGGAGGCTGAGGCAGGAGAATCGCTTGAACCCAGGAGGCGGAGCTTGCAGTGAGCCAAGATCGCGCCATTGCACTCCAGCCTGGCGACAGAGTGAGACTCTGTCTCAAAAAAAAAAAAAAAAAAAAAAAGTTGGAGCATAACTTTCCACCCTTAAGTGTGGGCTGTGCATAGTGACCTTCTTCCAAAGAGTGCAGTGTGGAAAGGGAGGGTTACAGTGGAGAAGTCTCACTACCTCAGCCGGGTGACCGAGCTCAACGGTAACAGAGGTAAGTCATGGTGACAGGGCACACCTTTGTTATGATGGCGTAAAAATCACCCTTTGCTTCTGTGGTCTTCCTCCCCAAAACCCACAACCGCAGTCTAACTGTGAGAAAAGCGCGGGACAAATCCGAATTGAAGGACAGTCTCCTCAAAACTGTCAAGGTCATCAAAGACAAGGAAAGTCTGAGAAACTGTCACAACCAAGAGGAGCCTAGGGAGACACACCGACTGAATGCAATGTGGGGTCCTAGATGGGGTCCCGGCCCAGAAAAGGACGTTCGGGAAAACAAAGGAAATCTGAATCATCTATGGACTTCAGTTCATGACTGACATAGGTTCAGTTCATGGACTGACATAGGTTCAATAATTGTAACAAATATACCCACACTCAGGTAAGATGCTAATATTAGGGGAAACAGTATACATAAACTCTATACAAACTTGGAATTCGTTTCTGAAACTTTAAATCTGTTCTAAAATACAAAGTTAGAAGAAAAATCTCACATCAAGAGCAAGCCTCCCACAGGCACGCAGTGGCCTCTGCGACCGGGCCCTGGCCTCCTGTTGAGTTATGTCTCCCTTCTCTCCCTTCTAGGTACCTCCCATTCCTGCCATATCTGCAAGTCAAAATTTCTAGACAGCCCCATGATATTCAGTTCTCTGGGCTGTTGAAAATTATGCACACGCCGCCCCACCACCACCACCTGCCCCGTGAACACTTCCTACTCAAGAACAAACTCCAAGATAAAGGCTTCCTCTAGAGAGCTCTCCTCTTGCCTCTGACCCCAGCCCAGGCTGGCTCGGTGCCCAGTCCCTGGCACCTCCAGAACGGCTTCCCCAGCTTCTCAAGGTTGTGAAGTGGAAACTGGGTGTGGGAGCTATCTTAGTTTCCTGTGACTGCTGTATGGAATTCTCACAGAGTGGCTTCAAAAGCGGCAGAACTCTATTCTCCCAGCGTTGGAGGCCTGAAGCAGAAACAAGGCATTGGCAGGGCCGTGCTGCCTCTGGAGTCTCTGAGGGAGGCTCCCATCTTGCCTCTTCGGCTTCCTTGGCTGTAACCATGTCACTCCCATTTTTACTTCTTCTTTTTTTTTTTTTTTTGAGACAGAGTCTCACTCTGTTGCCCAGGCTGGAGTGCAGTGGTGCAATCTCGGCTCACTGCAACCTCTGCCTCCTGGGTTCAACCAATTCTCCTGCCTCAGCCTCCCGAGTAGCTGGGACTACAGGCGCCCGCCACCACACCCAGATAATTTTTGTATTTTTAGTAGAGAGGGGGTTTCACCATGTTGACCAGGATGGTCTTGATCTCTTGATCTCATGATCCGCCCACCTCAGCCTCCCAAAGTGCTGGGATTACAGACGTAAGCCACTGCGCCTGGCCCTATTTTTGCATCTTTACATCACCTTCTTCTCTAGGTGTGTGTCTCTCCTTCAGCCTCACTCCCCCCGCTTTTTTTTCTTTTTGAAACAGGGTCTTGCTCTGTTGTCCAGGCTGTAGTGCAGTGGCGCAACACTGCTCACTGCAACCTCTGCCTCCCAGACTCAAGCCATCCTCCCATTTCAGCCTCCTGAGTAGCTAGGACTATAGGCATGTGCCACCACGTCTGGCTAGTTCTTTGTGGGGTTTTTTTCTGTTTTTTTTTTTTTTTTTTGTAGAGATGGAGGGTCTCACTACGTTGCCCAGGCCAGTCTTGAACTCCTGGCCTCAAGCTATTCTCCTGCCTTGGCCTCCCAAAGTGCTGGGATGACAGGTGTGAGACACCACACCCAGCCCTGCCTTACTCTTGTAAGGACACTTGCCATTGGATTGAGGGCCCACTTGCATAATACAGGATGATCTCTTCATCTCAAAATCCCTAATGACATCTACAAAGAATTTCTTTCCAAATAAGGCAATATTTACGGGTTCTGGGGCTTAGGACATGGACCTATCCTTTTGGGGCCAGCCATCCAGCCCCCTACAGAGTCCAGTGTGGCTGGTTCCAAAGGTCCCTTCTTGGCTCGCCTTGCAGGCGGGTTCCTCTTCTCCATGGGGTGGTTGGTCCTTGCTCCACATGGAGTTGAGGGGCTTGGGGACTGGCCACTGAAGGCATGCTGCTCACAAAAGCAGTCTGTGGGCACCCTCCCAGACTCAGGATCACCGTGCTGGCTGGAACATAAATGGGCCCTGTTGCAGGCGGGGTTGTCCTGGAACAGATCTTGAGATAGACTTTGACATGGAGGATATTTACTAGAAAAGTCAACACCTGGGGAAGAGATAGGGAGGAAGCAGGATTTGGTAGAGAGAAGGTGAACAGTGACGCAGCTCCAACGGAGTTTCAGCCATCCCTGGAGCCCATGTGGCCCATCTAAATTATCCCATGGGAGGTCAAAATGTCTGCACCTTTACATCGTAGCCATGATCAGTCGCTGGTCAGCCCTTCACGAAACGAGGGCGATGATAGCTCCTAACTCCTAGGTCAGAAGGGTTAAGTGAAATGTCCTGAGCGCTGACAGCTGCCATACACAGCCACCCCTGGAGGGAGTTCTATGGTTATCTTCCCCTTACAGAGGGGAAAAGCCAGCCTCAGAGATGACAAGCAACTTCCCAAGGCCACCCAGCTAGTAATGGCAGAGCCAGGACTTAAACTGAGGTGTGCCTGATGCAGAGCTTGAGTCCCTGAGAGCTGCTGGGGGAACCCAGAAGCCCGGCAGGTGCCTGGCTCCACACCCAGCTCCCTGGCACTCACTTCCCCACACCCCATGCCCTGTGCAGCGTCCTCCCAGTCACTTCCCATCCCCATGCTCCAAGCCCCAGGGCTATCTCCCCAGGGGACCCCATCAGGGGTTGCCTGGCCTCCCTCCCTTCCCCACAACCAGTGATCCAGCCTCCCAGGACCCCTCACAATTCTCCAAGCACGGCCCTCACCTGCCTGCCCCCATGCCCTCTGTCCCCAAGTCCTTTTTCCCCATGCCCTCTTTCCCCTTGTCTTACCTTTTAAAGTGGTACACAGAGGCCTAACTGTCCCAGTCAGATGCAACCTTCTTCACGAAACCCTTTTGACTGGCACTCTCCCTCCCTTCTGTCTCCCAAAAGACTCAATGTCTATCTCAATCACAGCTGAGTTGCCTTGGGTCTGATATGAATCTGCTTCCCCCAACAAACCAAAGCTTCCGGGGAGGGGAGAAAGTACAAGTTAGGAGCTCTCACTCAGCCAGCTGCATGGCCCGAGGCTGGCTGCTTCCTCTTTTCTGAACCTTAGATTGCTTATCTGTAAAATGGAGCTAACAGAGCACATTGCCAGGCACAAAAAAGGTGCTCAGTAAATGCTGTCTCTCAGGCTTTAGCCCGGGTGCAACTTTGTATCTGCCTCCAGGGCTGCAAACACTCCCTGCCCAGCTGTCTCTTTGCTTTTAATTGTCTATTTCCTCCACACTGCCAGTCCTCAGTTTCCCTTCTGTTAAACAGGCTGTCCTAACCATTCCACGCAACGTACCGTGTGGGGACTAGAAGAGGATTAGCCCAGCAGAGGCTTTGTGGGCATGTTGCTTCCTTCTTTTGCCCTTCCAACTGCCTGCCCTTTCCATCCCAGCAATGGATGGGCTGGGAGCCAGCTGGGCCCGGGTGCCTAGGCTCACCATGTGGCATCGGCCTCAGCCATTCCTCCCAGGGCCGCAGCCACTCTTCACCCCTAGGAGAAACTGTGGGGTCCTGGCAGGGGCGGGAGGCGGCTCTAGGGACGCAGCTCTGCCCTTGACTGGGAATGACGCCAAGGCTGCTGCTGCCTGCTGACAGTCTATCCTGCTGCCCAGTCCGCTGGCGGCAGACCCTCTCTCTTCCTCCTCCCACAGTCCCACCCACAGCCTGAGCCCTGGGGTTCAGCCTGCTCAGGTCCACTCTGACGGGGCTAAGCAGAGCTCCCCAGTCCAGGAAGCCCAGACACCATCAGGCTCTGTGGCCCTGGCAAGTCCTGCCAGTGTTTAGGAGGTGACCAGAACCAGTTCTGACAACCCAAGAAGCTGGAGCACAAATACCCCTTCCTGAGCCTGCCACCTGCAGTGTGAAGGGCCCGAGCAGTGACTCTGAAGCCAGCCTTCACCACAATCAGCTGTGTCTCTGGGCAAGTTATCTAATCCTCCGTGCGTCTTTGTCTGTAAAGTGGAGTAACAGTGTCTACCCCGCAGGGCTGGTATGTGGACTAAATGAGGTAATACACAGGTGACTCTCGGGACAACAGAGCCCCTGGGAAGCACTTCATGAGGATTAGCCATTATTATTTCACCTGTGTTCTGCATGTGGAGAGGGCAGCAACTATGGTCCCCACTGGCAGTAAGGCAACTGAGGCCCAGAAAGGGCCCACAATTGTGGCTGGGCCCCACCCCTGGCCTCTTCGTTTCCTAGGCTACCGCAGCATCCACCACACCAGCTCTCTACGTCAAGGTCCTCTGGGGTTCATGAGCACCTCCTGTGTGCCGAGCGCTAGAGGGTCTGGCACCAGCCCAGACTGGACAGCTCTGAGGCCATAGGAGGAGAGCTTGGGCTTCACTGCATGCAGGTGGTTTATGGTAAAGCCACAGGCTGGGTGCAGTGGCTCACGCCTGTAATCCCAGTACTCTGGGAAACCAAGACAAGAGGATCTCTTGAGGCCAGGACTTTGAGGCCAGCCTGGGCAACATAGCAAGACCCCATCTCTATAAACAATAACAAAAAATTAGCTGGGTGTGGTGGTGCTTTCCTGTAGTCCTAGCTACTCGGGAGGCTGGGGCAGGAGTATCATTTGATCCCAGGAGAGACCAGGACATTCAGCCAAGGTCACAGAGCCGACACATGGCAGCCAGGTCTCCAACCTGCCTGGCTTGAGCCCTTTGCCCCACACTGGTTCCCAAACATAAATGTCTCAAGGACACCCAAAACACAGCCCACCAGCTGGCCACCCACTTGCCTTGGGACTTTTAGAAAGAAACCCAAGGCTCAGGTGCCTGTTCCCTACTGAGAATGCCCCTCCCACCATGACTCCTGACCTTAGGCCCTAGGCCCTGCCTTGCCCCTCATAGCCACCAGGCCACCCTGTCACCCACTTTAGTACAAGATAGAATAAGTCTTGGTATCCTCCAAGAGTGCTGCCACTACCAATGATTACAGAGGGGCAGGAACAGAATTTGGGATATTGATTTGGGTTGTTTTTGGGGGGCTGTATTTCTCCTCTTCCTCTTTGAAGCAGGGGCTCTGTTCTCCTGACTTGGGGGGCTGTGGCAGGGCCCCCAGCAGAAGTTTTCTGCTAGACCCTGCCCTTCCTGGTTGGGATTTCTAAGCCACCTTAGGAAAATGACGCTTGTGACGGCAGCCTTCTGAGGAAAGCTCAGGAGGGAGGAGGAAGGAGGCTCCCCTAAGTGAAAAGACAGCAGCCCTCACTTGGGGTGGGGGTCATGTGAGCCCTGAAATAGCAGGCCCTCAGGCAGGCATGGCCACCGAGTTCCAGACCCTCCAGAGACTTGAGGTCTCACAGGGCCCTGGCTGAGGTCTCAGAGCCATGGGTCGTGCCAGCACCAGGGGCTGGCAGTGGGAGGGCTGGGTGGTGACTGGGCCTCCCCTGGGCCTTCACCTGAGACGAAGGGCCCCTCTCTCATCACCTCAGACAGACTGATTCTTAGAAAAAGCAGGACAGACAGCACCACTCACACACCTGGGATGTGGCTCAACCCTGCCCGCTGCCCAGCAGCAGTCAGCTTTACCTCACCTCCCGGGGACTGTGCCGTTACCCTCCAAGGAGGAGCAGCCCCTGCCTGCAACCCCTGCCCACCAGTCATGGGGAAGCGCTGCAGCATCCCACAGGCATGCCTGTGCCCCAGCTATACCCACGCCAGGTGTTGGGAGGCCCAGCTTCTACTTCTGCCCCTCAGGCAACCTGTTTCCTCAGGCAACAACCTCTGCCCCCGTGGGGGTCCTCTACTTCGCACCCACCCCACGCTTCCCCCTGCCGTATCCCACAGGGGGTCCCCCACCCTTCCCTCCACCACCCCATATAGAGGCTCCTCACCCCATTTCCTTGGAGTGTGCACTGCCTACTTTGGGGTGCTCTAGGAGTTCCTCCCACTGTCTTAGGGAGGAGACCATGAATGAAGAAGCCAGGAGTGAGGCCCAGCCACGGCTGTGGTCCCTGCAACCCCAGCCTTGCCTCCTGGCTTGGTTTCCTTGAGAGCAAGAAGCTCCTGCTGCCCCCCACCCCAGCCGGATAATTAACAGGCTCATCGGGGCGCTGGAGGAAGCAGCCCTGGCAGATGCAGGAGCCCAGCCTTCCCAGCCCCCACACGGTTATCAGCCTGGAGTTGCATCTCAGCCTCAGGGAAAGTCACTTCAATAATTTATTCGGACGTTATCACAAACCCACTCCCGGCACAGTGGGAAGCGAGGGAGGGAAGGCGCCGCGGCTGGAATGCCAAGCAGGGCAGCAGCCTCACCTGGCAGGGGGTGCGGGTGTCGGGAATGCTGGGGAGAGGGCTGGCACCTCTGATCCCGGGGACTGTCCACATCTTCTCCTGGGCTCATGCATAAAATGGGCAAGGGAATACCTGTCCTGCTCCTCTCCTGAAGAGTAAAGAGAAAAAGACACCCCCCCCACAGCCTGGGCACCAGGGGTCCTGGGTCTCAGGGTCCTCCCCTGCCCTTCTGCCTGGTCTCAGCAGCAGAGCTGACTCCAGAGCCCACGGGGTCTGTCCAGCTCCCCCAGCCCTCCTTCTCTTCTTTCCTTCCACCATGCCAGGCACGAACATGGTCACTCGAAGTAGAACCCGGAAAAAGATAAGTCCCTGTTCTCATGGGGCTTTGAGATTTTGAGTGGACAAAAAGCATTCACTGAGATAATTTATGGAGCAACTGAAACACGGTAGTAATGGGACAGAGTGACCCCCGATAGGGAGCCATCTCAGCTAAGGCTGACCAGCCAGGGCCAGCAAGGAAGGCTGAGCTGAGACTGAAGAGGAGTAGAAGATGTGGGAGGAGAGTGTGGGACAGACACAGCTGCAGATGCCCATCCAGAAGAGGAAAGACACTGGAGAGACGGATCCTTAGGGCCCTGTTGGCCTGGTGAAGGCTGCATTTCCATTCGAAATGCAATGGGAAGTCATTGCAGGATTTAAGGTAGAGGAGAGCTACCCTGCTCCTCTTAACATGTGTGAGGATTGAATGAATGAATGAGGGAGGGAATGGGTGATTGTGTGCATGAGTGGGTCCAGCCATGCGGACGTAGCAGTGTTGTCATCACCACCATGATGAATGCCACTGAGACTAAATCTTTGCCCATCTCCTTGATTATTTTGGCAGAATATACTGCTAGAAGTGCTGATAATAATGATTTGTGGGACATGAGACAGCCCTTAGTGTCACAGAAAGAGTTGGGAGATGGTGGGGAACAGGACACTTCTTGCAGAAGGCAGGGCTACCCAAGCAAGGAAGAGGTACCCCCAGGCAGACAGGTGAGTCATGGCTGGAGAGTGGCAGATCTTCAGTTTTCACTGAGGCCTGGGACAGGGCTGCTCCACACGGCCTCATTTTGGGGTGCCAGCTCTGCATCAATGTCTCTGAGGGCCAGCCAACTGTCTCAGGGGCCCCTCCGTCACCATCATCTCCACTATATCATCCCTCCAGCACCCCCACACTGACTCCTGCTCTCCTTCCAGGCCTTTGTCACCTGGACCCTGGAGCTCCTGAAAAGGGGAGAGGCTGGATGCCAGCTCGAAGTGGGGCCTCCTCCATGAGGACTGGGGCCTTCTCCCATCAGGATGGCGCCTGTCAGGGGAGAGTGAGGCAGACCCACTGGCCCCAGGCATTTGTCTGTCCGTCTCTCTCTCTCTATGGCCAAGGCCAGACGAGGAGCAGGGGCTGAGACCTGGGCCAGAGGAGCCTGCATAGATGGGTGAGAGTCCCAGGCAGCCCCAGGGCCTAGGCTGGGCCACAGTGTTCATGTCCAGCTCTAGGTCCAAAGTGAATTGTCTAGGTCCACTGTGGTCAGCCTCTGGACTCCTTAGCTAAGTTTGTGAGCCCCTCTTTCCTCATCTGTAAAATGGGAATAATGATCATACCTTCTTCATAGAATTGAGATTATAAATATTAATAAATAAATGATAGCATTTATTATAATAGTAACAGCTAACACTTTTTAAACACTTACAGTATGCTAGGCACTGTTCTAAATACAATTGAAATAATCTCTGCAAAGTCAATAGCATGAAGCCTGGTCCTCAGTAGGTGCTTAATCAGTGGTGCATGGATAAACCGAATGAATTAAGTAAACATCCCCGGTTCCTGGGGACAAGCCACAAACTCACAGGTGAATATGCCCGGCGTACTGTGCGCCAGGCCTCGGGCTAGGTATTGCGGATCTGCCTTCCCCACCCACTCAGATGGCAGGGATGCTGTTGCACTGTCAGGTGTGGAATATAAAGAGAGAAGCTTGGGGCTGCTGTAAGATGTGTCATTATCATTTTAGCCTGTCTTTCCCACCATGATCGGCTTTCCACAGACAACTGACCACATCATCTGATGGCGGCTGGGCCCCGAGCATGCCGCCTTGGGTGCAGCAAAAGGGGAGGAGAGTCTAATTTGCTCTGAATACAGCTCACTAGCAGCCTGGCACACACTCTGATCAAATATTTAGGTCCTCAGGAGCCCTGCCTGCAATATTAATGCAACAGGCCAGAGGCATTGGCTGCAGCCACACCGAGGGCTGGGGCTTCAATAACAAACGAGGGCTTTGCACGGAGAAACATGAGCTGATCTAGTCCATGAGTAGGACAAAAGCACCACGGAAAAACACCTTAGATGCTTCCCCCGTCACCCCAGCACACACGATCTGAACCCGTCCACTGCAGTCAACAACACGCATTGCTGGCAGAGGCATGCAGAGAGTTTTCGGAAGTTTGTACAACTTCTCCCATGGGTCTTTCCTTTCTGGAAATCTGGATGAAGGAAATAATCAGAAATGTGGGAAAAGCGTTGTGTTTAAGAATATTCATTTATTTATGATAATAAAGGGTTAGGAATATCAACAATTCTAAACAATAAGAGATGGGTTCAGGAAATGGTAGTATATCCTCTTCGCAAAGGTGTCATGTAGTCATTAGAAATTACGTTTGCAAACAGTTTTAATGACATAGGACATTATCATGATCCAATATTTATTTTTATTTTTTTTGAGACAGGGTCTGACTCTGTTGCCCAGGCTGGAGTGCAATGGTGTGATCACGACTCACTGCAGCCTTGACCTCCCGAACTCAGGTGATCCTCCCCCTGCCTCGGCCTCTCGAGTAAGCTCAGACTACAGGCGTGTGCCCCTACACCTGGCTAATTTTTGTATTTTTTGTAGAGATGGGATTTTGCCATGTCACCCAGCCTCGTCTCCATCTCCTGGGCTCAAGTGATCCACCTGCCTTGGCCTCCCAAAGTGCTCAGATTACAGATGTGAGCCACCACGCCCGGCCCCAAATAATTAAGTGGAAAAGGTAGGACAAAAAAATGCTACATCCAGTACTAACACAATCGTTAAGACAACTGTTTAAATAAACTCGAGCAAATTTCATCATCTCTCTAGGGATCTCTGTTTCCTCATCTGAAAACTAGGTGTAACACCTACCACATGGCTTATTGTAAAAAAAGCATAGGATGCTATTTGGAAATGGCCTAGGATAGTGTCTGGAAGGCAGTAGACAAGCAATTCATGGTACCTGTTATATAAATTTTAATAAAAAGAACTAGAAGACACTATCCCCAAATATTAATGAGAAGCTGTGTTTAAGTGATAGGACTGTAATCATTTTAATTTTCTTCTTTCTTTTCTGTTTTCCTTACATTTTACAGCATGGTGGGTTACTTGTACAGTGAGAACTTTTCTAATAACCTTTATGTTACTCATTCAACAATTTTTTTTTTTTTGAAATGAGGTCTCGCTCTGTCGCCTAGGCTGGAGTGCAATGGCACGATCTCCGCTCACTGCAACCTCTGCCTCTTGGGTTCAAGCTATTCTCCTGCCTCAGCCTCTCTAGTAGCTGGGATTATAGGCATGCACCACCAGGCCCAGCTAATTTTTGTATTTTTAGTAGAGACGGAGTTTCATCGTGTTGGCCAGGCTGGTCTCAACCTCCTGACCTCAGGTGATCCACCTACCTTGGCCTCCCAAAGTGCTGGGATTACAGGCATGAGCCACTGTGCCCTGCCTCATTCAACAAATATTTATCGAGTGCTTACAACGTGCCAAGCACTGGGCTAGGCTTTGAGATACAAAGATGGATAAGACAAACAGAAATCTTTGCCCCTGTTGAGCTTAAGCAGGGGACGATGAACAACAGTCATAGCACATGAATAAACTGTGTAGCTGTTAGAAGGCTCTGACTGCGAGTGAAGGAAAAAGGAGAGCATGTTAAGGAGATGGGGTGTGTGACGCTGGGAGGCAGGGTGCAGTTTTGAAGAGAGTGGTGGGTGGGCCTGGCGGATATCCATGTAGAATACCCCAGGATGGCCCTGAGGTGGGAGCATGCTAGCAGGTACCAGGAGCGGCCAGGAGGCCAGTGAGATGGGAGCAGAGTTCATCCGGTGGCGGCGGGGTGGGTTTTGGCTGAGAGCCACAGTCAGGAGTGAGCAGGGGGCCATGCAGGGGAGCCGTGATCTAACCGGGTCTGAACAGCTCACTCCGGCAGCCACTGAGCTGAGAGGGGACTACCGGGGCCTTGGGCGGAAGCTGGGAGAACAGAGCGGATGAGGGTCCAGGCCTGGGGGTGGCGCTGGGGCCTAGGAAGGAGCTGTGGTGGATACTGGAATCTGAAGTGGGAGCCCCCAGACTTGGTGGATGGGTGTGGGTGGGAGAGACAGAGAACTCTAGGATGATCCCAAGGTTTCTGGCTTGAGCAACTGCAAGGAAAAGCTGTCCCTGCAGATGGACTAGGAGATGAGGAAGGAGATGAGTATATTTAAAAATGAAACAAGGCACAGAGAAAGAGAAGCGTTTGATGTGCAAAGCTCCAGGGACAAGAGGAGCCCGGAGAGGAGCGGGCCCAAGTGCGTGTGGAATGGCGGGGGGATGGGGGGGCTGTGGGAGCCCGGGCCCTGGTGAATAATGGAGGAGCCCGAGCCTTTGATGATGAGCAGCTGCCAGCAGCCGGCCGGGCAAGGGAAACAGTTCTGCGTTGGGCCACTCCAGGACTCCCAGGGGACACACACTCTTGCCCCCTCCACCGCCCACCAGGCGGCCTTCCTCTGCTCTAACAGAAGTAGTGCTGTGACTATTCCAGAGGCTCGGAGCCTGCTAATACAGATTCCACCCGGGCAGGACTTCCCACTACAGCTTTGCTGCCAGATGGCGCCCCAGCTGTGCCCTCACACCTCCAGGGACACGGAGAGCAGGGTGAGGACAGGAGGAGGGGGAGCCCTTCCATGGACAGGGGTGAAGGAAGTCAACCTCCTATACTGTTATTCTGCCCATACTCCACCCTGGGCTTTCCGGAGACTCTGCCCAGGTAAAACCCTCCCCTGCCCTTGATCAGAGGCTACGTGGAGCCCAGAATGGAGAGGGCCGGGAGCAGCCCTGGACTTCAGGGACGAAGCCTGATTCAATCTTTTGTTTTGTTATTAACTTATGGCTTAACCTGAACCCTCCAAATCTTATCCATTCACCGTCCCCCACCCAACCACTCCCCACTCACCCATCTAGCCACATAGCCAAGACCCAGACAGAATGGATTTGGACACCGCTTTGCCACCTCCTAGCCTTGTGGCTGGGATATGCTTCTTGCCCTCTCTGAGTCTCAGCACCCCACCCCTCCGCTGCTGGAAATGAGGGTATTGATCTGTATCTACCTAGGGGTGGTTGTGGGGAGTATCACAAGACACTTTGGGGTGTGACATCTCCCTTTCTCCTATCTTGTCCGGGCGGGAAAGCCGGCTTCCTCTGTGGCATCCCCGGTCCCCCTCCCCCAGCACCTCCCCGCTCCTCAGCTCCTCACTAAACCTGCCTTCAAGCAAGGATGGGAAGGAGAGCGGCAGGAAAGCGCCCTGGCTGCTGCCTCCCCTTGGGGCACAAAGCACTGCCCCTCCGGGAAGGGGCGAGAGGGAGCAATCCAGGCGGAGGATGAAGGCAGGTAAATCTCAGGTGGAAATTTAGGTAGCAGTTGACAGGAGAGCCGGAAGTACTCACTGAATTGTGTTCCTGGCAAGGAAAAGGGCTCTGTTAACTGTGGAGTGCTGGACCAATACAAGCCATTATTATTGTTATGCCTTTTGTCTGTTTAATCCTCAGAATAATACAGTAAAGTGGGAGTGGCCACTGCACTCATTTAGAAAGGAAGAAACTAAGTGTCAGAATAGCAGCGGGCAGCTGGCACTTGGTTCCTCCAGGGCACCTTAGCACCTGTATCCCTGTTGACACCTCTCCCCAGTGAAGCCCCACCTGGCCTCATTCAGGAGGCCTGGCAGGGCCGGGGAGCTCGGCGCCCTGCCCAGTACCACAGTGCTGTGGTGGCCCAGAGTGTGCCACTGCCTCCAGTTCCCTACGCCAGACAGGCCAAGTCCCGCCTGTGCAGAATGAAGATCGAACCTTACGAATGTCACTCGTCATGAGGCAGTGGCTCCCCTTGGACTGCTTCCTGCCTGAGTTCTTGAAAAGCAATTCACTGTGTGTCAAGTGACCACAGGAGATACGCAGAAGGCCCTGCCCTGAGCTGCCCTGGGCATCTGGCTCAGACGGTGGGACAAGGTGCAGCCTTCCATTAAAGCTGGGGAGGGCCAGGCGCGGTGGCTCATGCCTGCATTCCCAGCACTTTGAGAAGCCGAGGCAGGTGGATCACCTGAGGTCAGCAGTTCGAGACCAACCTGGCCAACATGGTGAAACCTCTATCTCTACTAAAAATACAAAAATTAGCCAGATGTGGTGGTGCGTGCCTGTAATCCCAGCTACCAGGGAGGCTGAAGTGGAAGAATTCCTTGAAGTGGGAGGCAGAGTTTGCAGTGAGCCAAGATCATGCCACTGCACTCCAGCCTGGGCGACAGAGTGAGACTTTGTCTCAAAAAAAAAAAAAAAAAAAAAAAAAACTGCTGGGAAGGAATGCTGCCCACGGGCTGGGCTAGCCTAGACCCTGAGACCCTGAGCAGCTCTACAGCCTGGAAGGACCCAGCACTCAGTCCCCAGTCCCCAGCACCCCTTGCAGTCAGGGCATCCTTCCCCAGGTGCCTCGGCTCTAGTGGCCGAGTCCAGAGCCCTGCTTCCAACACTCCTCAGGGCCATCTCTGTCCCTAACAGTACACCGTGCTGTGTGCAGCTCAGGGGATACGAGGGTGGGCCTGGTCCTAGTGACCTTGAGTGCCAAGTTAAGGGTTTCAGACTGGATGTGGCAGAACAAGGCAGGAGGCAGGCAGGATTTAGGTAGGCCTGCTGAGGGTCTAAATAGGTTTGGGAAGGATTTAAGGAAATTCTTAGCTTCTCTAGTGTGGATGAGCAATGGGTTACTGAGGGGAGCAGGAAATGTTACCTTTGAGGCTGACATCAGGGAGACCAAATTTGAGCCCTCTCAAATCCCTGCCTTGATGTTTTCTGTGCCATAAATAGGATCTATTCAAACATCCTTCCACCTATTCATTCCACCCATCCATCCACCCACCCACCACATACAGAGTCTATCCTCTGTGTTCAGCAGGGGACTCTATGGACCTTGGCCTGAGGATGGCTTATTGAGGCCACAGAAGGCAAGTCTATCATCCTGTGTCTGGACACTACCCATGATAATAACTGCTGTGTTTAAGGGCCACTGGATGCCATGAGCTGTGTTACGGGTCGCATATATATTCTCAGCACGGGCTCCCACAACGATCCCATGAAGCAGAGCTGGTAGCCCATTTACAAATGAGGGCCCTGAGGCTGAGAGAGTTTAAATGCCTCATGCAAAGTCCTGCCATTCATAAGTGGCAGGATTAGGACTTGAATCCAAGTCCATGTGACTCCAAAGTCTCTCAACTCCTTCTAATGCCTAAAATGTGATGGGGCTTTAGAGGGAAGGGGTATGGATCTGGGCACTTGTGCTTGTAGATTTGATGCGTAACATACAGGCCACGTGTCCAGTGCCTGCTCTGCCAGATTCAACCACTTGTTGAGTCCCCCTGCAGGGTTACGGGTGGGGACTCAGGGCTCCTGGTGGGTGCAGATGATCCATGAGAACCAAATCTGGAAAAAGACTCCTGGCATATTGTAGCGTGAAGTGGTTCTTCAAGTGGCCAGATTTAGTGTTCCCAGGTTGGAGAGAAGCAGACACCATGCATTAAAAATGACAGTGGGCAGTGTAAATTATCAGGCACAGTGCTTAGGTTTATGGACTTTGTCCATAATTCTTGCTCGGTCCAGTGTGATCAGAAATGAAATACGTCCAGGCCGGGCCTGTTACTGTGTGTGGGCCTGGCGTCTTCCGGCTTATGTATCCTTCCTAATCCACTTGGTAATTTATGGGGTCCGCCAAAAAGCCACCTGCCACAATGCCTCTTGGATTTCTTCAGCTGAGGATCATGCCTCCTCCCTTGCCATTAGGGCGCAGAAGGCAGAGACAGCAAAAGTTCTTCTGTTGAAGGTGCAGGGAGGCAGGTTGGAGCTGCACACAGTAAATTCTGGCATGACCCTTCTGTGGTCAGATCCCTCTGAGAACAACTCAGGAGATTAACTCACAGTGACCTTCAGTGCCTCTGAGCCTGTCAGTCTCCACTCCCCCATCCAAGACTGGACTTGATGATGCAAATGCCAACTCCAGTTGCCGGGTACGGCTGCCTGGAACAGAGAACTGACATTGATTCAGAGGAGCCTCGGCTTCATGAGAAAGATGCTTGTTTGATTAGTAATGTCTGCCATGGTCTTGAGATGCAGGGAGTGATGCTACACACACCATGTGCTTGCTGTCCCTAATAGAGTCCCCCAAGGGCCTTTTAGCTCTGACATCGTGGCCTCTGTTGTGCCCTGTCTGTATAATGGAGGTGATAATTGATATTCCCTATTTGTAAACCTGGGGGTTAGACCAGGAGAATCAAGGTCTTCCTCTGTGCTCCTGCAGCATTTTGTCCATGCCACTGTAAGCCAGTACGTGCGCATGCTAGCCTGGGGTACTCTGAAGGCTGGCATCTGATTTATCTCTGGGTCCCTGGCAGCCAGCACAGACATACGCACAGAGTGAGCTCTAGTGAATGTTGATGAATGGATGGATAGATGGGTGACTATATGGAAAAATGCATGAACGAATGGATGGGTGGAAGGATGGATGAATGCATTGCAGCCTCACAGGGTGGTGGTGGAGATTGACCCCATGCTGTTAAACGTCTGGGGAATGGGGAGGCAAATGGAATGTGAAAGATAAGATGTCAGGGTGCTGAACAGGAGGAACAAGGACATGAGGCTGGAATGTGGAGGGAGTGTGTGGGGGCCTGAACCCTGTCCAGGAGATAAGCTTGCCTAGGCTTCAAAAGAGGGCTGGCTGCGGGTGGGGGCTGCCTCCAGCAGAAGGCACAGGGAACAGGGCACCAGCACTGGTGATATTGGTTTTGTTTAGCAAACTATGACTGTCCTTGTTGCTTTCTCTGATGATCTACGTAATGAATTTTCCTGATAAAAACATTCACGCAGAACAGCGCAATTACACAGAGCAAACAAAAATCACTCCAGATCCCACCACTGTGAGGGAATCACTGGTAAGACTTGGGTGAACCTTTTTCAGAGACTTCTCTATGCACCTAAACATGTATGCACGTGCATATATATTATACAAATACAAAGCTGCAAAAATGAGGCACTCCTTTATGTGCTGGGCTGTAACCTAATTTTGTCATTCAACGGCATGTTAAGAATGTATTCATCTGTATCATCATTTTAAAGGTGAAGAAATTCAGCTCAGAGATGGGAGGCCATTCACCCACATATCTACCCTGTGGATTTTCTCTCCCTCCCCCAGCCCCTTCCTTCCTTCCTTCCTTCCTTCTTTCCTTCCTTCCTCCCTCCCTCCCTCTCGCCCTTCCTCCCTCCCTCCCTTCCTTCCTTCCTTCCTTCCCTCTTCTACTTCTTCCCTTCCCTCCTTCTTAAAGGAATAAGTTCACTGGAAGCACAGAAACAAAGAACTGTAAGTCTTACCATAGAGTATGTAAATGGATGACATTTTTTGTTTGTTTGTTTGTTTAGAGACAAAGTCTTGCTCTGTCACGCGGGCTGGAGTGTCATGGCACGATTTTGGCTCACTGCAGCCTGGACCTTCCAGGCTCGAGTGACCCTTCCACCTCAGCCTCCTGAGTAGCTGGGACTACAGGCATGCCCCACCACATCCAGCTACTTTTTTTGTAGAGACAAGGTCTCACTATGTTGCCCAGGTTGGTCTCAAACTCCTGGACTCAAGCGAATGGATGACTTTTAAATGCTGTTTTCATTTGACTCCGTACTCCAAAAGCAGTCAGAATGAAATATGTAGTGCTGCTGTGCTGTTACGCGTAGATCTGTGTCTTTTCTCTTCTTCTGAAGAGCCCAAATTGCTTAATTAAAAGTGCAACAGTGCATCCCTGGGACTTGGGGGTGGCAAGTGTGATGCAGCAGGGCTTGAAATGTGCTTTGCTGTGAGGCTTGTTCTGTGTCTCTGCTGTTGCTGGGGAAAGAAGATGTCCTGGATGGCCTGCTGGTCTCAGGATGAGGATGAGAGACATGGAATGCAGAGCTACTCCAGCCAACCCACAAATTTGGGAGTGAGAAAAAAATGTTTATTGATTTGCACCACTGAGATTTTGAAGTTGTTTGTTCTGCTGCAATAGTTGACTGATAGATTGAGAATGGACCACTAAGTAACTCAAGCTCTCTGGTCTCAATTCCCTCATCTGAAAAATAGGGATAGTAATGACCTAACTACCGGGCCATTGTATGAGTCAAATGGATGACTAACTGCACAGTTGGTAGTAAGCACTCGATACCAACTCTTATTAGTGCCTGACCTTCGCGTGATGTTTTTCAAATCACATAACCCACTACTGAACCCAGAAATCGACTTAGTGCATCACCACTAGGGTTTTCTTTTGATATGATAGACTAGAAATTGATCACAATACTTTGCAATTAGGAAGGGTAAATATTGTTTTGTGGGACTGTTGTTTCAAGGTGTGTGTATAAAACAAATTCCTTTCTGTGTGTCACAGTTAAAAAAATTGACAAGCCTCTGCTGAGCGTGGTTGGACTGTTTCCTTCCTGGTTGTTGGTCCTTGGCCAGGAGACAGGAGCAGAGGTGGGGTGGGAGTTGGGGAGGGACACCAAGGGAAAGTATTAGGATCGTCATTTTCAACGAATATTTATTGAGCTCCTCCCAAGTGAGACAGTGTCACATCTGGCACAGAGTTTGCACTCAATGAACAGCAGCCATTAGTTATTAATATCATTATGATTGTGCTGTTCCCAGTGTCTAATTTTCATCTCATTCATTTATTCATTTGCTATTCAACAAACGTTGCCTGAGTACAGAGTGATGGGGACATAAAGATGACCCAGGTGTAGCCCCTGATGCTGCCCAGAGGCTGGTTTTTGTGTTGATTGACTTGTGTCCACCCTAGTGAGGGGTTAAGAGCTCCAAATCTGGAGCCAGACGGCCTGAATCTGAATCCCAACTCCTCTACTAACCATCTGTGTAACCTCGGCCTCATCCATAAAGTGCAGACATTAGTAATGAGGTTGCTGGGTGTGTTAAATACTCACTTAGGCAAAGCACACAGAATGCTGTCTGGCCCACAGGATGCACACAGTGAGGGTCTGTTGGCTGTTATCACTGCTGCCAAGGTTCAAGCGTGTGACTTCGAAAGAACCCAGGAGACACATGGAGCCCAGGATGGTAGCACACTTCATCTCAAGTGCTGGTGGCCTGGAGTGCTGTGTTGAGAAGGATTCTGCGATCGGATCTGGGCTCAGTAAATAAAGCCCTGAGTAATTAGGGATGTTGGCATGAGCAAGGAAGCGAGAACGGGGGTGCACGTTTCACCTACTTGCCATCCCTGATCCAGCCCAAGCTTCTGCCTTTACAGATAGGGAACTGAGGCCTCAAGAGGGGAAGGGGCATGCCCGGGTCACAGCTGGCATTCTTCTGGGATGGGACTCCTGACTTCATCCAGGGCTCCTGCTGATGATTCTTCCACCGTGGGAGAACGAGAGGAGCAAGAAAGCATTTTCCAAGGCACTGTTGGAGCCTCTCCCCCTTGGCACCCACTCCTCTAGGAGTTCAGTAGCTTGCACCAGGCTTAATTGAGCTAGGGAACATTTGAGGCAAAATATGGCCCTGCGGAGAGCAGCCGCTTGAATGGCACTTTTTGGGATGATGAATGTACTTGTTTGGATTTGAATGAGGCAGAATCAGCAGATACGGTATTGCACTGGAAACCGATGGGGTGGAGAACTCTCCTTTTTTCCCTTGAAAAAGCATGATTTTTTATATTGCAATTAAACAGCCCTTTGGGCTGATTTTGCTTCTCTACTGCTGACATCGAAAAATGCCAAACAAAGATAGCGGCTCGCTCTCCTTGAGATGCACCTCCAGAGATGGGGAAGCAGCTGCTGTGTCTCTTGGGAAAATGGGGTGAGAGATGCCAGCTCTGGGGTCAAGGGCTGCCGACACCCTCTTGGGAAATGTGGCTTCCCAGGCTGTATGCACATGACCTCCAGGCATTTGGGGGACCCCAGCCCAGCTTTTCCCATGAAGGATCACCAGCCCATGCCACAAGTTAGCTCTTCTACCCTGGAGCCCATGAATGACCCTATTTGCTAAGGACCCCAAAGACTGTGTATCTGAGATTCCCCACTGGGAGCCTAAGGTTTTGAGGGCTGGACCTGGCAAATGGTCCTGATTAGGGGTCACTTCAGTCCTGTGGGGGCACTTGAGGCTATTGAGTGCCCAATATCTGAGTCCCCTTCCATCTGCGGAGGCATTTCAAAAGAGTTGAGATGCAGGGCCATACCTCCCACTGTAGAAATTGAGGCAGAACAGGTGCTCTCCTTTTGGCCGGGTGCAGTGGCTCACACCTGTAATTCCAGCACTTTGGGAGGTCAAGGCAGGCGGATCACTTGAGGCCAGGAGTTCGAGACCAACCTGGCCAACATGGTGAAACCCCATCTGTACACAAAATACAAAAATTAGCTGGGCTTGGTGGTGCATGCCTGTAATCCTAGCTACTCGGGAGGCTGAGGCATGAGAAATGCTTGAACCTGGGAGGTGGAGGTTGCAGTGAGCCAAGATCGTGCCACTGCACTCCAGCCTGGGTGACAGTACGAGACTCTGTCTCAAAAACAAAAACACAAAACAGAACAAGTGGTCTCCCCTCTTCTCCCTGAAATCTGGGACATGGGTTCAGCTGGGAACCATGCTGGGACCTTGGCTCCGGAAGAAAGGACCATATGAGGTGATGGCAAGAAAGTAAACCGTGGAGGTTAAGAACATGGGCTCCAGAATGAGCCAGCGGGTGGAATCCTGGCTTTCCCACTTACCGGCTGGAATCTTGGCCAACTTGTTTTGCCTTTTATGCCTCAGTTCCCTCATCTATAAAATGAGTTAAAACAGAAGAAGCCTTTAGCACATGCCTGGGCCCCATGAGGGTTCTGCAAAGATCACTTGTTGCCGTTATTTGTGATGGTGACAATGGCAGTCTCGCAGAGGGAGCCGAGTCTTCTGTGTGACTTGCTGCCATGGTGCGGGGCTGCCAGGCAGGGCCACCATAAGTGGCTGGTTCAAAGGTACAGTGGTGGCTGAGTCCTCAGTGGCCTGGCCACCCTTGGCTCAAACCAATATCCTTTCAACTGGAAGCACTTTCCCTGCTTAAGTTGGTTACGTCTGCTTTTGTGGCCCTTAACCAAGGACCCTAACTGGTCCACACCGTAATTAATCCACAGCATGGTTTAGAGGAAGCTTCAGAATCAATTTGTGTGGTCAGGGCTGCCTTGGATTAAGAATGCAATATCCGTTATCTGCTTGATCCTTCACAACCCCCAGGAGGGACACAGCACCTTCTGTTTTCCACTTGCTCAGTTAGTACTTGTAGATTCACAAATGAGATAAGAGACAAGAGGACTTGCAGTCAATTAAAATAACTTTGCCACCAGCTGAGTATAACAGAATCCTTAGCAGACCTCAGTTCAAATCCTGTCTCCATCACTTTCTTTGGATGAATTACCCCCCGCTCCCCGGTCTTGGTTTCCTTATTGGTAAAGTTAGAAGAATGATAACCAGAGAATTCCAGAAGAGAATACTGTAATGCAACATGCTGGCAATGTTGGTGGGCAGGACAGTGACTGATCTCACTAAAGAATTTGTGGTTCTTTCAGAGGTCGGGGCAGGAAAAGGGCACTGGGACTTGGGGGCAGGGGTGTGGGCCTGAGGGCAGGAGAGACCTGTGCTGGGCAGAGGGCCTACTCCACTCCCTCCAGGACGGAAGCGTGGCCTCTGTGTCACTCTTGGCTTTCAGTATGCTCAGACACTCCGTGGTCAGTCCCAGGACTGAAGTGTTCCTTGGGGCTTGGCACCTGTAGGCTATCTCAGCCACCCGGCTCCCTTGGGCTTCTTGCAGAGAGAAGGGTGAATGGGCTTCTATTAGCCAAGCAAATCCCAGTGGTTAGAAGAAATGGTTCCAGCATAGTCAGACTGTCCAGATTAGAATCCCAGCAGCACCACCAACTTGCTGTGTGCCCTTGATCAAGTTAATTCACCTCTCTGAGCCCTAATTTCCCTATCTGTCCCTCACAGGGTTTTTGCGAGGATTAAGCATTTAACGCCAAGCCTCCTCCAGATCTCTCCCAGAGCTGGAGGAAAGGAAGCTCAGTTGGAGCAGGAGTGCAGCTAACAACAGGACTTGGCTTGCTCTGGGCTCAAGAGAGAGGCCTTGTTGAGGTTCACCAGTATCTGGAGCAAACCACAGTCTGGCTCCAGTGCTCAAGATGGTGCCTGATACAAAGACAGTAAGGGCTCCTCAAGTGGGAGCTGTAGTTATTACGATTTTGGGCACAGGCCCTCATTCAGAAAGTGGAGGAGTTTAATTACAGGCAAATTGTGAATAATGTGATTCTTTCATTCCTGTAACTGTGACTTTGAGACACCTGCTCCATTCAAGAAAAAAATAGGTTTAAATTGAAAAACGCTTCTTCTGCAGTCCTTAATCACCACCTCATTGAAGTGCGTGGTACAAAACGTCTTCTGCTGAGGAAGTCTGAGAGTGACAGGAAGAGCGTGAGAGGGAGGACAGAGCCCCTGCGTGGGGAGGGCCGACCTCCTTTGACTTGGCTGGAAGGGGGACTATCCTGACATGGAGCAAGATCGATGACACTTGGCCCCAGCCTTGACAGAGCATTTCACATTCCTCTAAGTGACATCTATGAAAAGTTTAAAAGCATAAAAAGCATAAAAATGCTTATTTGAAAATGTTGAGTGAGAAGAGCAGGATATAAAATTAGATGGCCAGATGATCACAACTATCTAAAAACAAACGTAATCTCCTTCCCAAGATGGAATAGCAGGGGCCAGATTAACCTTCCCAGATGAAACAACAAGCCAGACAAAATACAGGAAACAATGAATTTCAGACATTGAGGACCAGGCAGCTCAGACAGTGGCCCCCGAGGGAGGAGACTCAAAGGCGAGCATGTTGGATTGCCCAGCTGCCAGCCTGGGGAGAGGCTGCAGGGCAGGAGGGCACCAAGGTGGAGCCTACCCTCCCTGAGTTGAAGAAACAGAGTGAAAGTCCAGGGAGCCATGGCGCTAGCTTTCAGAGGGCAGAGGATCCAAGAAGGGAAAGCTGCCCACAGAGAAAGTTCCGGCAATTTGCAGATGGCCTCCCTTGTGCCTTCAGCTGAGCACTGATCAATGCCTGTGTGAGAGGAGATTACCTAAGGCTGCAGAAAAGCCACCAGAAAGGAGCGCGGGAGTGACGCCTGGACTCACACAAGATAGGGAATGGTTTGTCACAATAGTCATAGATACAAAATTCTTAACCAAATGTTATCCAGTGGAATCCAACAATATATTGAAAGGTTGATACATCATGGCCAAGTGGAGTTTATCCACTTGGAGTGTAAGGAGTGTAAGGTTGGTTTAATATTTAAAAACCAATCAGTGTAATTCAGCATATTAATAGACTAAAAAAAGAAAAATATATGATCATCTTAATAAATGAAAAATATTTTTTATACAATCTGGTCTCCATTTATAACAAAAATTGTTCTCAGCAAACTAAGGATGGGAGGAAATTTTCTCAACCTGATAAAAGGCATCTACAAAAATTATTCAGCTAGTGTCATTATTAATCATTAATGGTGAAAGATTGAATGCTTTCCTCCTACAATTAAGAATAAGGCATGGATATTCTCTCTATCATTACTATTCAACATTATACTGAAGGCTCTAGCCAGTGCAATAAGGCAAGAAAAAGAAATTACATGCTTACAGATTAGAAAGGAAGAAGGAAAACTTCTTTAGTCACAGAAGATGTGATCATCTATGTAGAAAATCTTATAGCTCCTACAAAAAATTACTAGAAATAATAGGGAGTTTAACAAAGACACAAGGTCAATACACAAAAATCAATTGTATTTCTATATACTAGAAATACAGAAATTGTGTGTATACTAGGAACAAAGACTTAAATTTTTATATTTAAAAAAGTAAGACTATACAATTCATCAAAATATGAAATATTATGAATAAATTTGTCAAAAAATTCAAGACCCAAACATTGAAAATTTACAAAACATTGCTGAGAGAAATGAAGATGTAAATAAAAAGAGAAATATCTCATGTTCATGAACCAGCAGACTCTGTATTATTGCTAATTATCCTCAAATCGGTCTGTAGATTCAATGCAATCCTAATTATATCCATCAGGCTTTTTTGTATGTGTGTGGAAATTGTCAATCTGATTTCAATTATTTATATGTAAATGCAAAAGGATCTGGAATAGCCAAAACAACTTTGAAAAAGAGCAAACTTGGAGGACACACACTACCTCGTTTTAAGACTTATTATAAGGCCACAATAAGTAAGATAGTGTGATACCGGTATAAAAATAGACAAATGAATAAATGAAACACAATGAAGTGCAGTAAAAGACCTACACACGTACAACTGATTTTTGAGAAAGGTGAAAGGATGCACTTTTCCGCAAATGGTGCTGGGACAGTTGTATGACCCAAATGACAAAAAATGAACCTTGACAGTTACCTTATATGTAAAAATCAGCTTGAGAACAAGCTAAACTCTAAAACTTCTAGAGGAAAACATAGGAGAAAATATTAATGACCTTGGGTGTGGGAAAGATTTATTAAATACAACACAAAATTACAAATTATAAAAGAAAACAAATCAGTAAGTTGGACTTCATCAACATTATAAAGGCTTATTCTTCAAAATAATCTGTTAAGGCTGGGCTCAGTGACTCATTCCTGTAATCCCAGCACTTTGGGAGGCCGAAGTAGGTGGATCACTTGAGATCAGAAGTTCAAGACCAGCCTGGCCAACATGGCAAAACCCCATTTCTACTAAAAATACAAAAATTAGCCCGGCATGATGATGCGCACCTGTACTCTCAGCTACTCGGGAGGCTGAGGCACAAGAATTGCTTGAACCCAGGAGGTGGAGGCTGCAGTGAGCCGAGATTGCGCCATTGCACTCTAGCCTGGGCGACAGAGTGAGACTTTGTCTCAAAACAAACGAAACAAAACAAACAAACAAAAAAAGAATCTGTTAAGAAAATGAAAAAGCAAGCCACAGACTGGAAGAAAATATTTGCAAATTATATACCAACATAATGATGAGCGGTGCACAGCTTTGTGAATATACTAAAAGCCACTGAATTTTACATTTTAAAAGGATGAAATTTATGGTATGTGAATTATATCTCAATAAAGCTGTAAACAAAAACAGCATATATCCAACAAAGGACTTGTATTTAGACTATATAAAGAACCCTTGCAACTCAATAAGGTTATAAACTCAATTTTTAAAACTGAGCAAAAGATTTGAACAGACATTTCACCAGAGAAGATGTATGAATGGCAAATGAGCACATCGAAGATGCCCCGGATCATTGGGTCATTAAAAGACAGCAGATTAGAACCACAAGGAGACACCACTACACACCTGCCAGGACAGCTCGGATTTGTGTCCCATTGCGTCAGCCCCCAGGCAGCACAGTCAGTGTGGTGCACCAGCTCCCAGTGTGTGCAGGAGGCCATCTGCCTCTCCTCACCTACAATGTCCAGCCTGGCACTCCTAGTACCCACCTGCCATGTTAAGGAGTTCACTCCACCCCATTTGGCAAGGACAGTGTCTGGATCCCAGGCTGGGGGTGGGGGGAAGTGTGGGAGAAAGGGGAAGGGGAAGAAATAACAAAGGAGACTGGTGGATGGTGGCAGCAGTTGTGGCCCAGGGGTGGGGAGGGGGGTGGGTGAGTCTGGTTCCCAGCAGGCGCCAGCAGTGTCAGGGAGCTTGGGGGCTGTCTTAGTCCATTCAGGTGGCTATAACAAAATACTGTAGACTGGGTAATTTATAAACAATACCAATGTATTGCTCACAGTTCTGAAGGCTGGAAAGTCCAAGATTGAGGTGCTGGCAGGTTTGGTGTCTGGCGAGCGCCTGTTCCTTATGGACCGCAACTTCTTGCTGTGTCTTCATTTGGTGGAAGGAGCAAAGAAGGCCCCCTGAGGATCTGTTTTGTCTCTTTAATAGAGACGGGGTTTCACCATGTTGCCCAGGCTAGTCTCAAACACCTGGCCGGAAGTGATCCACCCTTGGCCTCCCAAGTGCTGGGATTATGGGTATGAGCCACCACGCCCGGCCCCGAGCATCTTTTTAAGGGCATGAGCCCCATTTATGAGGGTGGAACCCTCATGACTTAATCACCTCTTTATATTATCCCATTGGGTATTAGGTTCCAACATATGAATTTTGGGGGAACACCAACATTCAGATCACAGCAGGAGCCAGGAGGATGGGTAAGAATGAGCAGAACCAGCCAGTGTGAGGGCATGGACTCAGCAAGCCCTGAGGAAGAACAAAGGGCAGATCTGAGAACTTAGCAGGCAGCCTCAAAAGGACTTGAGGAGTAGCTGGATTTGAGTGGGTTTGGGGGACAGAGAGAAGGACCTGCCAGGGGGTCAAGATCATGTAATCCACCAAGGCAGAGAGTATGAGGAGCAGGAACGTGAAAAGACACCAGCTGCCACATCCCAATTGTGCAGTCTGGGTGCCCCTGGGCATCCTGGTGCTTGCCCAGTGGGCCACTGGTCGTGTGTGTCTGCGGGTCAGAGAGCTCCAGGCCTGAGCAGACAGCATGATGGTCAGCAGAGGGAAGCGTCTGGAAGCCTTGAGAGTGGAGACATTGCCTCGGGAGGAGGCAGAGGAGCCAGGGCCAGGTGCCAGGGGACACATACATTAAGGGAACACCAGGCTCTCGAAAAGGGAAATGAAACCAAGTGGCCTGTTTTCCTGCCAGCTCCTCCCTGGCTGTGACTTGAGACAGCAGAAGGAGGAGAAGGGGAGTGGGGAGGACTCTGGCCCTGAAATTGGAGGAGACAGGCCTCACAGAGGCACCAGACAAAGGCACCCCCTCCAAGGAACTCACCAACCTGGTTTCCTAATGTTCCAATCTATGTGTTTTTTTGTTTTGTTTTGTTTTTTTTTTAAAGAAGTTGGGCCAAATTCCAATCTGTAGTCCACCAGCCCTTCTGCTCTTTCCCTTTTCCTTCACTCATGGACCCAGAAGTTACCGAGTGCCTACCACCAGGCTGCTGCTGGAATACCCTGGGGAATGAATCAGACATAGTCTCTGCCCTTAGGGACGGGCGTTCCAGGCTGGTGGCAGCCAGGTTAACAAGGGGGCTGGCAGTGACTCCCACAGGGCTCTCTGGAGGGTCAGCTCCAAACCCTTTTCTTCTCTGTTTCCAGCATTTTGTTCTCCCTTAACATAGGTGCCCCTCAGCGCATGGGCCCGCCTCCTCTGCCACACTCTCCCATCTCCCGGGGAACATCTCCACCCTCGAAGCTTTCAGCCGCTCCCCTCTGCTGACCACTCAGCTTACTCAGGCCCAGAGTTTTTTCCTTTCTTTCCTTCTTTTTTTTTTTTTTTTTTTTTTTTGAGACAATGTCTCCTTCTGTCAACCAGGCTGGAGTGCAGTGGCAGGATCACGGCTCACTGCAGCCTCCACCTCCCAGGCTCAAGCAATCTTCGTGCCTCAGCCTCCCAAGTAGCTGGGGCTACAGGCATATGCCACCACACCTAGCTAATTTTTTTCATTTTTTGTGGAAACAGGGTTTCATCATGTTGCCCAGGCTGGTCTTGAACTCCTGGGCTCAAGCAATCTTCCCACTTTGGCCTCCTATAATAAAATGCTGGGATTATAGGTGTGAGTGACCACACTCGGCCTCCTGGAGCTTTCTGACCCTCAGACACACACAGCCAGAGGCCCACTGGACAAATGCCAGGATGCCCAGGGGCACCCAGATTACATATTTGCCAAGTGGAAGTTGGTGTCTTTCCACATGCCCACACCTCATAGTCTCTGCCTCTGTAAATGGAAGACTGTCCCCTGCCCCCACTAACTCATCCTCACTTCTCTCTCTCCCTCTTCCAACAAATCCAGTCACTCAGGGAGTCCCACTGACAATGCCTGCGGAGTTCTTCTTGGATCTGGCTACATCTCTCTCCCTAGTACCTGTTCAAGTTCAGGCCCTCATATCTGATTGGTTCCCTCTCACTTCCATCTTTCTTTGGTCTTAAATCTCCCTAGTATGTAGTATGTAGTATGCAGCAGATAGGAGATTTTTAGTTGCAAGTGACATAAACCTAACTCAAATTAGCATAAGCAAAAAATTGAATGTATTGGCTCACATAACTAAAAGGCTCAGGTTCGCTTCGGGCATGGCTGGATCCAGCAGATAAGCAAAGTCAAGAGGACCTGGTCCCTCTGCTTTGCCATTTTCTTAATCAACATAATTCCCTGGCACACTCTCTCCATGGGCTGGTCTCATTTTTCCCACATCAAGGCCAGCAGAGAGAGATTTTTTTTTTTTTTTTTTTTTTTTTTTACAGATCTAACCAGAATCCAGCTGCATTTCATTGACTGTGACTGGGTTGCACAGTCATCCCTACACTAGTCACTGGGCACAGTGTATGCAGTACTCTAATGGGGCATGTCTGCACCATGTGCTTACCCCTGAGGTTGGCATGGGGTCAGCACCACATAAACCATGTAGGCTACAAGTAGGGAAAGGAAGGTGCCTCCAGGAAAATCCCTGTCTCTGTTTGGGTACATAGGATGGCTATGAAATTGGTGTCAGGAGAAATGACCAACACTGCCTTACACAGGAAAGCACCGGCAGAGAACGGGAAGCTGTGAAAGGTTTGCTGAGCAAAAGCAGCATTAATTGTAGTCATTTACACACACATTTTCTTTTCTGCCCAATTATACCACGCAATCGCCATCACTTCTTTCTTGGGCGTGGGATTAACTCTGTTGTTCGTGATGTTTAATCACATCGCCGAACTCCGCTCTGAGACACTCGTCTGCACAGCGCCCCCCCCCGAGCAAGGCTGCCCTCTCTCACCCTAACACAGCCAGTGCAGAGCCTGCTCCGGGCCCACACAACACTGCCCAGCCAGGGCAGTTCTGAGCTGACCCTGGAGCTGACTTCAAGATGAACCTACACACACACTTGGCCTTGGGTCAGAGCCAAACCTGCCCGGGCTCTAGGAGGCTAAAGCCTTGTTGTGAGTGTTATGGGAGGGGGTCCCAAGGTCTCCTCCTGCCACGCAGATCCCCTGAGAGTGAGGGGCCTAATGGGGGAATGGGTTGATTGTGTGTCAAGAAATGGTCAGGAGATCGAGACCATCCTGGCTAACACGGTGAAACCCCGTCTCTACTAAAAATACAAAAAATTAGCCGGGCGTGGTGGCGGGTGCCTGTAGTTCCCAGCTACTCGGGAGGCTGAGGCAGGAGAATGGCGTGAACCCGGAAGGCGGAGATTGCAGTGAGCCGAGATCGCGCCACTGCACTCGGGCCTGGGCGACAGATCAAGACTCCATCTCAAAAAAAAAAGAAAGAAAGAAAGAAAAAGAAATGGCCCTGGTGAATGCTTGTAGGGGTCCCCCGGGAGCCTCTTCCAATCAGTATCTCCCATCCCCTAACCCCAGGATTACCTGTGCCCCTTCCTTGATAAATAGGACCCGCCATCTCGGAAAAAGCTCCTAGGGCATGAACCCCATTTATAAGGATTGTCAAGGCCTTCTCTTGAAAATACTGGGCCTGATCAAGGGTGTCAAGTGCAGAGGGCTTGTCCGAACACAATTTATTGAAGATGTGTGCCCATCTAGGTTTTGGCAGAAAGAGGAAAAGCAGGACATGGGTTCTGAGTGTATAAAGGACACAATTCCTGAGTGATCCCTGTGGGCGAGTCCGGAAAAAGTCATTTGTCCTGGGGCGCCCCCTGCTGGCCACAGACAAAAACGGCGTCCCCAGAGCTCAGGCCTGCCTGGGTAGACAGAGGCTCAGAGAGCCTGCGCAGACCTGCCTCTTTAGGCCTGGGGACCTCCATGCTGGCCAGCATTCCTCGGGGGCATGGTCAGATGGCAGCCCAGAGGAGAGGTCAAGTCCTGCAGCCTCTGACGGCACCCAGCTGCTGTACACAGAAATGTGTCCAAGATATTTTCTCTTCTCCCTCTTGGCATCAGGCTCCAAGGGTTGGAGCCTTGGCCCACCGCAAAATGACTGGAACTGTCTGGGCAAATCCCTTCACTTCCTCAAGGTGCTGCTTGGCCCTGTAAAATAGGGTTGAAGTGCTTGCTGACTTCGCAGGTAGCCTGCGACAGATCGTAATAGGTGAACACAATTTGCAAGGTGCTTCTGTGTGTCACTCGAGATGATGCTCGCACAGGTGCCCTGTAAAAGCCATGCATGTCTTAAACGTGTTGGCTGTGGCTCAGGTAAACAAATGTGGGAGCAAATCGTCCCGTGGCTCAGAGAGAAGGTGTACTGTGGTACCAGCCTGGAAGAGGGCAGAAGTTCTTGCAAGCTCTCCTGCCAGCTCAGCCCTGGCAGCTCTGGGACAGGTGTGTGTGTGTGTGTGTGTGTGTGTGTGTTCACTAACAATAGGGAACTCTGCAGCCCCATGGCAGCAACCCCTCCAGGTGCCCTGAACTTTTTTCTGGGCTTCAGGATTGGACCCTGAGGGACTTGAGGTGGTAGAGGTCTATCCATGTGTCCGTCCCAAACCTGTGGGGCACTGTCAGCCTTTTACAGCTTCTCACCATTTCTCTGCCCACTCCAACCTCATCCTTCCCATCTCACCTTGTCCAGACCCTCATGGGCTGGAAGGAAGGTGGCAGCCACTGGCTCTGCCACTGCTGCATCCCGCTAGACCACGACTAGACCATGACTCCAGCCTCCTGGCCACCGCTTTGCCCAGGCTTGATCTCCTGCATGCTGCCACAGAGAGATCCTGTTCCCAATCACAGCTCGCTTCTCTGCTAAAGACCAACAATCCTTCCCCATAATCAATGGAGTCCAGTCTCTGGATGTGCCCTTCTCCACCCCCTGCCCCCCGTGCTGTGCCCCCTGGCTGCTAGGGCAGCACCACTTCCTGCCCCTCGCTCTACCACTGCTTGGGCTCTGCCTTGTAGAACAACAGAAATGTAATGAGAGACACAAATTCAAGGCACATAAGGAATTTTACATCTGTTACAAGTCATATTTTTAAAAACGGAAAAGAAACAGGTGAAATTAATTCCATAATATTTTTAACCCAATATTTCCAAAATATTACCATTTCAACATATAATCAATATTAAAATTATTAAGATAACTCACATTTTTTATACCAAATATTTGAAATTCAGTGTATAAACAGCACATCTGAATTCAGACTAGCCATGTTTCAAGGAACCAAAACCACACATGATTAGTGGTGACTTTATCAGACAGTACAGTTCTAGAACCTTCTCTGGCTATTCCAGCCCCTGCCCGCTTCTCCCTTCTCCCTGCAGATGGTTTAGGGTGCTTTCTGGTTGTTTCTTGTCCGTGAGGGTGATTCAGCCAAGGCCTGGAATCCCAGCCTGTCTGAAGACTTCAGCAAGACCTGGGAAAGTCTTTTCAGGCCTGTGGGGGCTCCATGGTCAGTATTTATTAAGCTGCATGTATTCAGTTTTAAAGATAGGTCCATATTCTGAGATTAGTTTCTTTCCAACATTGGGTATTAAAATCTGCCCCCTCACTTTTAAATTTTTTATTTTTGACATAGTGGGAGAGAATTGTGGTTGCTTTTAATGGCAAAATTAAAAGGTGACAACCTTATGAACCAGAGATATTACAAAGAAAAATAAAACCCAAATGCTAGCATGTGAAACCCAGAAAGTGGCAACTCCTGGGCCCCACTGGCTGCCACGGCAATTTTCCTAAAATGAAGATTGGATAATGTTGCTCCTGGAGCTCCACCATTACCTCAGGAGGGTGCAGAGTCAAACACTCATGAGCCTTCAAGATCAAGAGGGCGCTTACCAGCCATCACATACATAATTCTCCAGGAAGAACGCATTGCCGCACCCCTCCCCCAGCCTCCCCCCAACCCCCGGCCCCTGAGGCCAAGCTGCTTCATAACTCCCCTGGCTCGTGCCAGCCTCTGCCTCTCAATAGCCAACTCCTCCTCATCCCTGTCCCAGCTGAGCTCCAGGAAGCCTCTCTGACCTCCAATCAGGTTCGGGCTAGCCCCTTCTTGGGCTTCTGCAGTTGCACGGTTCCCTCTGTCTCACCTGTCATAATTGTCTGCAGCTGGCTCTGCTACCCCACCAGAGTGTGCTCTGCCCTTGTCCCCAGTGCCTGCGCAGGGATCGCACCCAGGGAGAGCTCAGTCTTGGTGAGGGTTGCAACAAAGGAAGCAGCAGTCCTCCAGAACCCAGCCAGGAGGGTGCCTGCTGTACGGAGGCTGGAAACCCGGCTACCAACCTGATCTGCGGGGGCTGTGGCTGGAGGTGCCTCTCCTGGTGGAGCTGTCTCTGGGCCATTCCCTCACACCAAGGTGGGAGTGCCAGGTGGCACTGGACCTCCCCCAAAGACACTGAAGGGGCTCTTCCCACGTGACCATTAAGGCAGGGACTGGGATGCAACAGTGGCAGAGCCGGTGGCTGCCACCTTCCTTTCTCTTTCCCCAGGAATTTTCAATCAGCTGTATTGAGGCATCATTCGCATATAGTAAAATTCACTTAACAGAGTTTGAGAAGTTTCGACAAAGTGTTTCCATCACCCCACAAAATTCAGAGCATCTCCATCACCCCCAGATCCCCTCAGGGCCCTTTGTGGTTGATTCCTTCCCCTGCTCCCCACCCTGGCCACACTGGTCTCTCCATCTCTATCCCTGTGGTTTGTCTCTTTCAGGATGTCATAGACATGGAACCATTACTCATGCAGCTTCCAAGCTGGCTTCTTTCACTCGGCACAGTGCTTTTGAGCCTCACTGCTGTGGCGCTTGCGGGAAGCTTCCTCCTTTCCATTGCCAAGCTGTATCCCGTTGTAAGGATATACTCAGTTTATCCACCCCCAGCGGAGGGACTACCCCTTTCATTTTAAGGGAGGACAATCAGAGGTCCTAAACAACTGTGGATAATGTGGTCCTAGGAGAGAAAGAGGTGGCAGGAGCCCCTACCAGAGGGGACAGTCAGGACAGTCTCTAACCAAAGGTTTCTCGAACCAGGTCACTGTCCCTGCTTCCCAGCAGGGCTATGGAAGTGATTTTCTCCTGGCTGCATTCCCAGATCTATCTGATCAGGAGCCTTCTCCACTCAAAGTCTTTTGAGCAGTGCATTCGTTTAATTTTCCCGGTATGGATGTTCTTTTTCTCAATGGGCAGGTATCAAGGGGTCATTCAAAAGCCATATTTATGCTCCTCAATTATGCCTGCCCTTCCTGAGCCAGGCAGAAGAGGCAGCTACAGGGGTCTCGCCTTTGCCTCAGGGGCGTAGGAACCACATGAATAAGACAAAGGAGCCGGGTCGGGGGAGACAGAGAGCTGAGGCTGTGGCTCTGGCCAGCTGTGCCTGCAACAAGAGCCTTCACTTCTCAGGGCCCCAGTTCCTAGGGTCTGAGTGAGAGGGACTCTGACAGTTCTTAAAGAGCTATGGGCAAAGCTAGCTCCCTGAAGACCTGAGTTCAAGTGCCAGCTCTGGACTAACCATGGGGCCCTGGCCAAGTTGTTTAGCTCCTTTGGACTCAGTTTCCTCATCAAATGTGAGGCCATGCAGATGTTCCTTAGGCAGAAACACCGAGGAGTCCCCCGTACCTTCTACTTGGTCGGGAGGTTATGGACCCTGCCCCTTTCTCCTGTTTCTCAACATTATTTAAATGGTCCTGATATGCACCCACCTCCCCCACTCCCAGGCATTGGATGAGCGTCCCCAGGCCTGTACCCTTCTAGGGATTAGGGAGCCAATACCCTTCAAGTCCAATGTTTAGATTAATGCTCTGTGAACAAGAATGCCCCCTCTATTGATTTATCCTGCCTGCGTCTCAACTCCCTTCCCCCTCCCCAGTCCTTCATGTATGACCCTGAGCAAACTACTTCCCCTCTCTATGCTTCAGTTTTCTCATCGGTTAAAAGAGGGGGGCAATAAGGCCCAGTGCAGTGGCTCACGCCTGTAATCCCAGCACTTTGGGAGGCTCAGGTGGGCGGATCACCTGAGGGTAGGAGTTCAAGACCAGCCTGGCTAACACAGTGAAACCCTGTCTCTACTAAAAATACAAAAAATTAGCTGGGCGTGGTGGCACACGCCTGTAGTCCCAGCTACTTGGGGGGCTGAGGCAGAAGAATCACTTGAACCCAGGAGGCGGAGGTTGCAGTGAGCCGAGATTGCACCACTGCACTCCAGCTGGGCGACAGAGTGAGACTCTGTCTCAAACAAAAAAAAGGTGGGGGGCAATAATAGCACCGACACACATAGGGCTGTTGTCAGGATAGAATTAGATGTATATGAAAGATGGGAAGTGTTTCAAACAGTGCCTCTCACAGGGTCAGCACTCAATATGAGCTTGCCGTGATGATGATGAAGATGGGTTTGTCCTGCAGCCCCACAGTATCCAAGGTCGGGCCTGTGCCATCATGCAAATACTTACACTGGTGCTCCTGAGCCATGCTGGAAGACTTCCCCCATCCACTGCCTAACTATGCCTCCAGCCCTCACAGTCCAGAGGGGAAGCCTCTGAGAGGCCTCCTCACATGTATTGCTAGTCTCAGCCTCCACTGGGAATGGTGGAACTTGGTGATGACATCAGCCCCTTGGAAATCCGAAGAGCTTTGTCATGTATTCTAAAAGTTACAAACTCCACTGACAAAACATGTCCTGAACGTTTTGTGCCTTCGGTGCTGCCTCTCCTTTGTTCTGGGCCAGCACTGGGGCTTCCTTTCTTTTCAAATGCATATCTGAATTTCCTTTCAAATGTATTCTTTATGATACCATATTTATTGTTACTCCCAGCTTTCAAAATATATATTCAGTGCACTTTTCAAATGGTCAAAAGGTGTTTGCTTTTGGTTGAAGGCCTCATTCCTCTGGGCATCGCAAAACAATTTCTGGAAAGCTGGTGAGGAGGGATCTTGAGCTGGACTCGGGAATAAGAGACCTTGTTAAAGTGCTGTGTTGAGACAAGAGTTTCATAAGTACTCTTGTCCCTGCACCCAGGGGACATCTCATTTTTTCCTGCAACACGCTTGCAGGAGCCGTGCCTTTGCAGGCAGGATCCCCAGCTGCTAGGTCACGCCCACAGCAGAAGGTCCCAGGGACTGGGAGTAATCGTCAGTTTCCCATCGTTGCCATCTACGGAGGCTCTGCATTGTCATGAGCACCTCGCAGTTATGACCTCTCACCCTGCAACAGCCCTGAGTCGTGGGGCTTTCTATCCTTATTTCACAGCAACAGGCCCAAAGGTAAGACATAGTTGCCCAGTTACACCACTGGGAAGGGCGGACAGAGACACAGAGAGACCCTGGGGGAACCTTGGACTCCAGAATCCTCTGTCATTGAATACATCTGTGTGGGACAGAATGGAGGAAACGTTGCTGCATCTTCCCATCTGCCGCGTGGCTTTCGGTTTTAGTATTTTGTATTTTGGTATACACTCGGCAACGTTAGTCAACACCTTCATGTGTACGGGCAAAGGATTACCCGGGTGCCGAGGCAAGAGACTGAAGGCACAAACTGTTGCAGTATAATAAAGAAAATAGTTAGAATAAAGAATAGTTATAATACAAATTAGATATAGAGATAATCATGGGCAATTATCAATCATTAGTATAAACATTATTGATCATTAGCTTTTAATATTACTCTTTGTTGTGTTACTAATATAACCAAGGAATAACCGGCGGGTATAGGGTCAGGTGCTGAAGGGACATTGTGAGAGTGACCTAGAAGGCAAGAGGTGAGCCCTCTGTCACGCTTGCATAAGAGCCACTTGAGGGCTCCTTGGTCAAGCGGTAATGCCAGTGCCTGGAAAGGCACCCATTACTTAGCAGACCATGAAAGGGAGTCTCCTTTCCTTGGACGAGTCAGGGAACACTCCGCTCCACCAGCTTCTTGTGGAAGGCTGGATATTATCCAGGCCTGCCCGCAGTCATCTGGAGGCCTAAACCCCTCCCTGTGGTGCTGTGCTTCAATGGTCACGCTCCTTATTCACCTTCATGTTCCTCCCATACTCCTGGTTCCTCCTTGAAGTTCTTAGTAGATAGTGGTAGAAGAAATAGTGAAAGTCTTAAAGTCTTTGATCTTTTCTTACGAGTGCATAGAAGAAAACGCTGACATATGCTGCCTTACCTCTCTGCTTCGGCTACCTAAAAGGGAAGGGCCCCCTGTCCTATGATCACGTGACTTGCTTGACCTTATCAATCACTTGGACAACTTACTCTCCTTACCCTGCCCCCTTGTCTGGTATGCAATAAATATCAGCACGCCCAGTCATTCAGGGCCACTACCAGTCTCCACATCTTGGTGGTAGTGGTCCCCTGAGCCCAGCTGTTTTCTCTTTATCTCTTTGTCTTATGTCTTTATTTCTTACCATCTCTCGTCTCGGCACATGGGGAGAGCACCCGCTAAGCCCCATAGGGCTGGACCCTACACATGTGTAAACTTCCTTGATCTTTTCAGCGTGTGATTTGGTGTTTGGTTATGTGCATACCCTCCCTGAATCCATCACCACCATCAAGAGCGTGGGCGTATCTATCATCCCCCAAAGCTTCCTCTTGGCCCCACCTTGGCACCCCACCCCGAAACCCCACCCCCTCCTCCAGGCTACCATTGATCTGCTTCCGGTCACTACAGATTAGTTTGCACTTTCTAGAGTTTCATATATACTCTTGTTTGGTGTGGCTTCTGTCATGCAGAATAATTATTTTGAGATTCAGCTGTGGTATTATATCAATGGTTCATTTCTTGGAATCTTCCTTGAGTTCTTATAATAAGCTCTACTTGGTTATGGCCTAGTATTCTTTTAATACACTGGTAGATTTGGTTTGCTAATAGTTTATTTAGGACTTATGCATTATATTCCACAAAGAGGGTGATAAACCAAAAATTGGGCCCGGAATAGACCAACCAGATAGCAAAGAGCAGCCTAGCAAAAACATGGAGGAGGCTCCTGTTACCAGAAGGACCAGCAGACACAGAGCAGGCAGACTCAGGCTGAATTAACTGACCCCTCTCAGCCGGGCCTTCCTTAGAAGAAGAAAATAGTGTTTTGTTTTGTTTTTTAACTTTATTAATTCCAGAGCGTTAGAATTCAAAAGAGTGAAAAGCCAAATACTATTGTAAAATGCTTGGAAAAACACAGACCCACTCTACTGGGAAAGAAAGCCATGGTGTGGTCACCAGAGCAAAGCCAAGACTCAGGACATTTCTAACAGCCGAGAAACACTCTTCCCGGTCGTCGCCTCTGAGAAACCACGGTGTCCTCTGGGCACCTCAGAGCGGAGGGACAGACAGGAGAGGAGCCTGGGTGAGGGGAAGGGGAGAAGCAAGGAAGAAAGAAGAGGAGAGAGGCAGAGCTGAGAGACAAAAATGGGGGAGGACAAGAGAGGGGAAGGAGGAGAAGAAGAAAAGAGACACAAAGAGGGAGAGAAGAGGGAGCAGGGAGAGAGAATGATGTTAGTCATTCAAAACAGCTGCAAATCCGGGGAAGCTGGTTAGCTCACTTCCTGAAGCCATGAGCAAAATAATGATATCTGAGGAGCTGTGAGGGTGTAGGGGCAGTGGCATGAGGAGAAGGGGTTCACTGTAGGCTGAATTGGGTCCCCCCAAAGGATATGCTGAGGTCCCAACCCCCAGTGACCGTGAATGTGACTTTATTTGGGAGTCGGGTCTTTGCAGAGGTAATGAAGTTAAGTGAGGTCACACTGGAATAGGGTGGACCTTGTAATAAGAGGGAAGTTTAGACACGACACAGAGGAAGACACTGCGTGAAGGTGCGGGGTACACAGACAGGGGAGAACACCATCTTGAAGACAGAGGCAGGGACTAAGAGCCATGTGCCTACAGCCCAGGAATGCTGAGGACTGCCAGCCACTGACAAAAGCTAGAAGAGGCAAGGAAGGAACCTCTTCTAGAGTCTTCCGAGAGTGTGGCCCTGACAGCACCTTGATTTCAGGCTTGCAGCCTCCAGAACTATGAGAACATCCATTTCTGTTGTTGAAAGCCTCCCAGTCTGTGGTGATTTCTTATGGCACCCCCTAGAAAATGAATTCAACGTCCCATCAGTGCATCCACAGCCCCCTGTGAGGGGCTTATCTGGGCCACCTAAAACTCACATGTTGAAATCCTAACACCCAGTAGCTCAGAATGTGACTATACATAGAGACAAAGTCTTTAAAGAGGTAATTAAATTAAAATGAGGTTATTAGGAGGGGCCCTAATCCAATATGACTGGTGTCTTTATAAAAAGAGGAAATGTGGACACAGGCACGCCCAGGGGGAAGCCCATGTGTAGACACGGGAAGAAGACAGTCATGTATGAGCCCAGGAGAGGGGCCACAGAAGAAACCAACCCTGCCAACACCTTGATCTCAGACTTCCAGCCTTCAGAATTGTGAGAAAATAATGTCTGTTGTTTAAGCCGCAGTCTTAATGGTGGGATTTCGTTATGACAGCCCAGCAAACTAATCTACCCCAAGCCCTGATGGGTGGGAAGGCAACTGGAGACTCCTCTGCCTGCACCTTTGGGCTGGCAGCACTGGCTGCCAGGAGCTGGCTCAAGGATGGGGTGGACGGGAGTCAGCACACTAAACCATGAGCCCCCACCTGGCACCTGCCCAGCCTTTGCAGGAGCATGGTTCTTACCCAGTCTCCCATTGCAGAGGCACCTCTGAACGTCCTGCTTCCCCAGGCCACTCCTATGTGAGGCTCCCTTGTGGGTACCTTGGCCTGGGGCCTTCCGCCTGTGCCTGGACTTTCCCATGTACGCCCTTGGACATGCCTGGCCACAAGCACCACGTGGGGGCTGGAGCTGGGCCTCTACGAAGGGTAATCATGTTGATAGCAGCCAGAAACAGATGGGTTCCTAGGCAGACAGGATGGGTCCCCGGTGAAACCTGACCTTCAAGACAAAGACAGCTTAAAGCCTGAAAACTAGGCTGTCAGTTCCAGGCAGAGTCCACAACCCAGAGTGAGAACTTCCTTGATGCCTTTTAGTCAATCCAATGGTGCTTCTTCCAGGCCCACCCATGGATCAATCAGGAGGCTCTCCCCCTATTCTGAGCCCATTAAAACTCCCGACTCAGCCACACCTTGGGACTACCCACCTTCAGGTAGGGGCTACCCACTTCAGGTCCCCTCCAGTGTTGAGAACTGTTCTGTCACTCAATAAAACTCTTCTCCACCTTGCTCACTCTCTAGTTGTCTACATAACCCTCACTCTTCTTGGACATGGGACAGAAACCCAGGACCCACTGAACGGGGGTGGGAAATGAGCTGTAACACTCTGCTGGCTTGGGGTGGCTTCCCCACATGATGGAAGCAGCAGCTGGGCCAGGCCAGCCCAGGAGCCCTGGGCCAGAATGGGGCAAAGGGACTGAATAAGCTGTGACATGCCATTGTTTGCCAAAGCATGCAGATGGCAGGAACAAGCAAGCTGTAACACAAATGAGCCATAACATACCCCCTGTTACATGCCCCTCGTAACAACCCCCCATACCATTCACTGCACTGCAGGGGTGGGAAGGAGAGAGAACTGTAACAGCTCTTGGGGGTTCAGGCCTCCGGACTCTCCAGGTAAAAGCCATATCCCTTGGGACTCCGTGTTGCTGACGTCTGAGAGTTTTCGGGCACTACTGTATCCCCCTTGCCTAGATGCTGGCCCCAAGGCGGAAGCTGTTCAAGGTGGCAAGCTGGGACCAGTTGTGGGCAGAGCACAGAGCCGGGGGTGTGGGGTCTGGGTCAGTAGCTGGAGCTGAGCGGGGCCCACTGGACCGAATGGGTGGAGGGAGTCCAGCAGCCAGCCCAGAGCCCAGTGAAGCCCAGCAGAGGTGCCACTGACCACAGAGGTTTCCAGCTGGAAGAATCCTGTGTCAGTGTGACACACTGGGCCTTCCACACCTGGGCAAGGGATTTTCATGCTTCACTTCTGCCCCTAACCCTTCATTTTCTGCCCAGTCTGGGAGTTCACCTTTCAGAGCTGCCTTCTTTTGAGTGGAGCCATATTCCTGAGAAGCATGTCAGAGCAGAAAGATTCAGCCTTCTTGTCTTTTTTGGTTTTGCTTTCTTTTAACACATGAGGAAACTAAAGCCCAGAGAGGGAAAGGGACCTGTCCCAGGCCACACAGCTATTTGGGGATCAAATTAAATCCAGAACACCAGGCCAGTAAGGCCAGACGAGCCCTCAGCATGCTCAGCACAAGCACCTGGCAAGTTCTTGTACAATCCCGTTAGGTCACTGTTATTTCTGCCTAACATTTACATTAACATTTGGGGTGAGCCACAGAGAGCTTTTTCAAATTTTAAAAGCACTTCAATATCTTATTTATTACAGCAAAATCTGGTTTAAGTCACTGTTCATAAAACTGTGATTTAACGAAGAGCTTTTATTACAAAAATAAATTTCAGTAATAACTGCTCAACCAGACACTTTGCAATTAAAAATAAAACTGCACAGTAAAGAGAAATGCAATTCACAATAAACTAAGTTGTTCTTTCTCTCCCCACTCCACCTGCCTGGGCTCCACAATATTGCTACTGGATTTCAAACCATTTGCTGGCATTAGTCTGTTTAGTACAGCTCAGTTCTCCAAATAATAGGACAATTTCATATTTTTAGCTCAGGATTAATGCCCTAAGAGATAGTCACATGTCCTTTCAGTTCTTAGCTACAAACTCTACCAAGATTCGGCCACTCTAGTGTGTCTGTTTGCTTAATGTGATCTTGAATTTTGATCTTGTCACAATCTACAATGAAAGCTCAGAGGGAAAGAACCTCATTGTATTAGATCAGACTGTCATAACAAAATAGCATAGACTGGGTGGCTTAAACAACAGACATTTATTTTCTTGCATTTCAGGAGGCTGAGAGTTTGAGATCAGGGTGCCAGCATGGTTGAGTTCTGCTGAGGGCTTTCTTATGGATTGTGGACCGCCACCTTCTTGCTGTGTCCTCACTGGCAGAGCGAGAGAGTGAGAGAGAGCGAGCGAAAGAGAGCTCTGGTGTCTCTTCTCATAAGGGCGCCAATCTCACTGTGAGGGCCTTACGCTAAGGACCTCATCTAATTCTGAGAACTTCCCAAAGGCCCCGTCTCCAAATACCATCACGTTGGGAGTGAGGGCTTCAACATATGAGTGGGGAGGACGTAATTCAGTTCATACCACCCATCTACCTAAAGCAACTGGCTGGTTACTTGCACAGTGCTCATGAACAATTTTGCACTTAGGATCATACTAGTGGAAATAATTTTTCCTCTTGCATGTCTCCAAGAAAATATTTTTTCTCCAAGCAATGTCCCCTTTGGTGTGCTGGTGAGGACCGTTGAAAAGGAGTAAAGTGTGTTTAAATATCATTCATTCAAAGTAAATGGAAGGGTTAATTGCTGTTCACAGTTCTGGAACTGCTTTCTTCACCTGCAGAGCCTCTAAACTAGTAGGAGATTGCAGGGATCGCTGATGATTTCCACCTGGTTATTACTCTATTCATTCCTGCTCCTCTAACCTTTCTGTAGTTTATGGGTGAAATAGCTCTTGTAGTGAAGAAAGTCAGCAAATGCTTTTGATCATAAGTACAGATAATACACATCCCACGGACTCTGTTTTGTGGGATTTTTCTATACATGTTGACATAGCTAATCTTTGCTTCTGCAGCATGTACATAAATATTATACAAGATGACTGGCATATGGTACTGTTATGTGTCTTTTAAGAAAATCTCCAACTGAATCCAATATTTCCCATGTGGCACCTGATACACTGTGGGCGTGGGATATTTATAGAGCAGTAATAATGGTATTTGAAAACACTGTGATGTCTAAAGCCTCCATTTCCCTGAAAATTTTGTCTAGAAGGCTGCATTTCTCAGGCATAAGCTCTTGCCAGCCATTCACGGTGATTACGGGAAGGTTAAGCATTGTTGGGACTCACAAAACAGCTGTGTTAAGCATTACTACCTCTGAACGCTTCAGGAGGAAAGCCACATTCTCCTGTGGAAGGAAATAGTTGCAGGTAAGGACTTATCGCCTAACCTGGCCTTCTAATGCTAGTCTTTTGCCCTTCAATAGAATTAGGTTTTCTGAGCATTTCTCCTTAATGACCTTAGTCGTGCCTCAGGCTACATATGGCAGTTTATGAAATTGTAGAGTCAACGAATCTTAGAATCAGAGGACTTGTGACTGGGAGTTAACCTGGTTACCATTTTAACCAAGCTGTCCCCTTTTTTAAAATTTGAGACAGGGTCTCTCTCTGTCACCCAGGCTGGAGTTCAGTGGCACGATCATGACTTACTGCAGCCTAGACCTCCCAGCCTCAAGTGATCCTCCTGCTTCAGCTTCCTGAGTAGCTGGGGACTATAGGTGCGTCTCACTACATTGCCCAGGTTGGTCTCGAACTCTTGGGCTCACGCAATCTTCCTGCCTTGGCCTCCCAAAGTGTTGGGATTATAGGTGTGAGCCACCGTGCCTGGCCCATCCCTTTTTTAAAAAGTGAGGACCCCAGTGAGGACATTAGTTTGGTGACAGAGGTGGGACTGAGGTCTTTTTGTTTTTATCTTGGGGCTCACTCCATTGCACCTGGCTTGTTTCTGTAGCTAATGTAATCCAGCCCTATTCTATTTAATTTACTGTATGTTACTAAAAAGCCCACCTGAGTGATAGCTCCCACTTTTATGTGTCTACTACATGCAGGGCCTCTACCAGGTCCCATTGCATCATGTCATTTAATTTATACCAGAACCTTATGAGGTAGGCATTACCATCTCCATTTTACACATGGGGAAACTAAGGCTCAGAGAGGTTGAGTGTCTTGCCCAAAATCCATCACTAATAATTGGCCAAGTCAGGGCCTGAACCTGGGACTATCTGACCCTGCAGTCCACGCTCCTGCCATCAGAGTTGGAGACAAGATGAAGCTGGAGACAGTCCTTCTGCATGAGCAGGAAACGTTATTTTACTGGCCAGGCCAGAGGTATGGACATTGGATATACATCTTACAGCCTGAGTTCCATCACAAGTTAGCCACTGACCACTCACCAAGTGCCAGGCTTAGGGGACCCAGAGGTGAATGGGGCACAGCTCCTGACTTGGAGGAACACTCTGGCTATGTGGAAGACAGATGTGTAAACAGATGACAATAGCACCTTGTGATCCAGGCTAGACAGAAGAATTGTCAGGGGCTATATAACCTTAACCCTAGAGGCTGGGGATAGCCCCAGGAGGTGCTGATGCATGAGCCGGGTCTGGAAGGATGGAGAGGAGTGGGTCAGCTGAAGAGGGGGCTTGGAGGGGAGGAAGGTCTTCCAGGCAGAGGAACCTGCATGTTTCATGGCAGAGAATTAGGAGAGGGCCGAGGGAAGCTGGAGGGGTGAGAGTGGGGAGGACCTAAGTCAGAGTGGTCATGGAGACCAGATGACAGAGGGCCATGGGTGTACTGCTAAAGTCAGGGGCAGACCCCACTCAGGAGGCTAGGGGAGTCCTGAGGGTCTTGGGTAAGGATGATTGTCTGACCTTGGACAGATATGCAATCCAGCCTAGAGGGAGGACTGGGGGAGGAGGCCAGGCTGGGGGCAGGGTGCCTGAACCAAGGTGAGGATGGCCATGGGAAGAGAGAAGGAATCCTGTGCAGAAGAGGGAATAGACAGCCTGTGGGGAGGGAGGGGGAACCAAGGATGACTCCCAGGTCTCAAATCGGCACAGGAAGGTGGTTTGTGGTGCCAGCAGCTTAGCCTGGGAACACAGCGGAGAAACAGCTGAGCAGTGGTAGAGATTCCCCAGGGAAGGCTAGAGAGGATGAGGATGGGGAGACTGAGGCTGGACCCCCTGCCAGTGCCTGGCAGGAAAGGTGATATAGTTTGGAAATCCGTCCCCTCCAAATCTCCTGTGGAAATTTGATGCCCAGTATTGGAGGTGGGGCCTGGCGGCAGGAGTTTGGGTTATCGGAGTGGATCCCTCTTGAATCGCTTTGCAGTGTCCTTGCTGTAATGAATGAGTGCTCGCTGTATGAGTTTACCTGGAGGTCTGGTTGTTTAAAAGATCCCTTCTCTGTTTCCTTCTCTCTAACCAGGTGATACCTGCTCCCTTCACCTTCTGCTGTGAGTGGAAGCTCCCTGAAGCTCTCACCAGAAGCAGATGCTGGCACCATGCTTCTTGTACAGTTTGAGGAACCATGAGTTAAATAAACCTCTTTTCTTTATAAATCACCCAGCCTTGACTATTCCTTCATAGAAATGGAAGCAGACTAAGACAGAGGGAGATAGAGATGGTGTAGGTGCAGAAGAGAAGCTGGGAGAGCAAGGTGGGGAGGAGGAATGCATCTCTGTAGTCCCCATGGAGTGAGGGCCAAAGTCACTTGCTGAGGGGAGTGGGCAGGGGTTTGAGAGGGGAGTGAGGGTTGAATGGAGGTTGGGTGGAACAGGGAGATGACAGTTCTGAACAGTCTGGCAGTGCTGAGAACCCAGTGGCACTCAGTAGCCTGGGTAGGCATGGAGAAGGTGAGGCCATCAGACTGTCCCTGGGTAGGGTTTGCTGGGTGGGTGAGAGGCAAAACTGGGGCAGTGTCGGGGCGGAGTCTGGGCCCATGAGGAAAGGAGGGTGGGAGGCAGGACAGACTCACAGGCTATAAATTTTGCAGAATCTGAAGAAAGTCACAAATGAGACTCATCCCTTAAGTCTCCAGACAGTAACTATGGTGCCAGGATGACTCAGGCCCAATCTTTTTGGGGCTTCCCAGTCAACAGTAGCCTGACCCTAAAAGAGCTGCTCTAAGCATGGGCCCTGTACAGGGAACTGTGGAACAGTGGGCCTGTGAGGCAAGGTCCCTGGCCTGCACTACCCACCTGCCTTCCCGGGCAAGGCTGATGTGCTGCTGAGAGCTAGGTGACCCTATGAGGGGGCTAAGGGACCCCACTAGGGAGCTAGGTGACCCCAAAAGGGGGCCAGGGTACCCCACGAGGGAGCTAGTGGACCCCATGAGGGGGCTAAGGGACCCCACAAGGGGGCTAGGTGACCCCACGAGGGAGCTAGGCGACCCCATGGGGGAGCTAGGGGACCCCACAAGGGGGCTAGGTGACCCCATGAGGGGGCTAGGGGACCCCACGAGGGGGCTAGGTGGCCCCACGAGGGAGCTAGGGGACCCCACGAGGGAGCTAGGGAACCCCACGAGGGGGCTAAGGGACCCCATGAGGGAGCTAGGGGACCTCATGAGGGGGCTAGGTGAGCCCATGAGGAAGCTAGGGGACCCCAAACAGGGGGCTAGGGAATACCCTGAGGGAGCTAGGGGACCTCATGAGGGGGCTAAGGGACCCCACGAGGGAGCTAGGGGACCTCATGAGGGGGCTAGGGAATCCCCTGAGGGAGCTAGGGAACCCCACGAGGGGGCTAAAGGACCCCACGAGGGAGCTAGGGGACCTCATGAGGGGGCTAGGTGACCCCATGAGGGAGCTAGGGGACCCCAAACAGGGGGCTAGGGAATCCCCTGAGGGAGCTAGGGGACCTCATGAGAGGGCTAAGGGACCCCACGAGGGAGCTAGGGGACCTCATGAGGGGGCTAGGGAATCCCCTGAGGGAGCTAGGGTACCCCATGCAGGGGGCTATGGGACTCCACACAGGGGGCTAGGAGACCCCACAAGGGGGCTAGAGGACCCCACGAGAGGGCTACGTGACCCTATGAGGGGACTAGGGGACCCCACGAGGAGGCTAGGTGACCCCAGGAGTGGACTAGGTAACCCCAAGATGGGGCATAGGCTCTGCTGCAGGTCCCAGCTGGGAGTTTGAAGGCCGCTGGAGAGCTCACCTAAAGGAGAAATCCCCGTGCATTTGGGAGTCGGGGAAGGCCCCTCTCCCTAGTGACTTGTCTCTGTTTCTGATCTCTGTAGTCTCTGAAATGCCACATGGCTGGTCTTTTTAAAGATCCTGCCAACAAACAGAATCTAGTAAGGAGGACACCTGGAGCGTGCTGGCTGCCATGTCTGGTGCTCCCATGTGCTGCTTCTGTGCTGCATAATCACCTCTAAAGGTGAGCGCTGCCCTTCTCACCAGGCTGGGGAGAGGCTAGGGAGCTTGCCTGAGTGGCCGTGCTGGAATCTGAACCCACAACTGTCTGACCCTAGATCTGTGTTTGCCGAACAGGGAGACGCAGGGACCCCAGGAGACTCTCATAAGTCCTGTCGGGGCAGAAAAACACTGCTGCAGTTGGGCCACAGAGGTTTCAATGCAGGCACCAGATGCGTAACTCAGCCCTGATGTACCAGGTGTTAGGCTGGTTGGGCTTGGGGCCAGCACATGTAGCTACCCTCAAGGAACTTCCAGCATGAGAGGCAACCTCAGAGAAGTTTTCAGGAAACTGCTTTTATGGGGTTTAGACCCTTGGGAGAGGTGGCCCCCTAAACAACCTTCCAGTCGCTGGTAGAATGCTGCTTTTGTGCAGAAACATGCCCCAGGCAGATGCTCCGCTCTGTGACAGCATCTCTGCTGTTTGGCCATGCACACATCTGCCCACCCACTCTGCCGCTGACAACAGGATATGACAGATCTATGCTGGAGGGAATGTGAGACCGACAGGTCCCGGAGGAGACGAGGCACTCACGGTGGGGGCTGCTCCGCTCCTCCCGCTGGCCCCCTAGTGCTGCAGCTTGGGGACTTCCATCTGTGGCCGGCCGTGTCACTCCTTTCTAACCCAGCCTGGCAGGTGCTTTTGCTGAGGGGCTGTAGGATGAGGGTCTGTGTGCAATGCTGATTCATTTTTGTGGCAGGAGATTGATGAGATGTTTGAGGGTGACTGGACGCACTCCCTGGCTGCCTTCAGGAAAGGATCAAGCTGGTGGGAATGAATTCAATCGCTCCGACTTAGCAAAAGGTGTCTTGAGGCCTTTCCCTTCCTTTTTGCATCACTACTGGAGTCTTAAATCCTAAATTACTTTTCATTCGAAACAGATTTATTTTTAAAGTATTGGCCCATTGTCATTTCAAAAACTTTATTCACCATTGCATTTAAGGAGTTTGCCAGCTTCCTTCCAGCCGCAACTTTGGACTGCAGAAGATCTAGTGTGTTGCAAACCACCAGTTTTTGTTTTTAGAAGGACGGGTTTAATGTTCAGACTTTATCTAATTATGGATAATTATGATGTCTTGCTGAGAATTCACAGTGGGATATGGGCTCTGCAGAATAAGACAAACTGACTAACACGGTTCCCGCCTGGTCGATTTTGAGTCTAAATAGTCACATTTAGATTTCAGTAATGGCGTGGAACATGAAGAATTCTCTCACGCTGCGTGTGTGTGTGTGTGGCTGGTGGGGGAGAGCAGGGAGGAGTGTCACTAAAATGAAGGCTAAGCAAAAAAGTCCTTTCCTAGGCTGGCTGGTGGGCTTGGGGCCAGCACATGTAGCTACCCTCAAGGAACTTCCAGCATTAGAGGCAACCTTAGAGAAGTTTTCAGGAAACTGCTTTTATGGGGTTTAGACCCTTGGGAGAGGTGGCCCCCTAAACAACCTTCCAGTCGCTGGTAGAATGCTGCTTTTGTGCAGAAACATGCCCCAGGCAGATGCTCCGCTCTGTAACAGCATCTCTGCCATCTGGCCATGCACACAAAAAAGTGGAGGTAATCAATAATCTAAAAGGAGGTAAGAAAAGGAGAAATAAATTAATGAAAGGACTTAAAAAAAAACCTGAAAATGAGGCTTTGTTCATAACATGAGCAAAAAAGAACGTAAATCCTTCAATAAATGCTGCAACCACCGGCGTCGCAGGCCCCTGACTCTCATTCCTTAATGCAGCAAATATCGATCAGGTGCCCACTGTGTGCCAGATTCCACGCATGGCAATCTTTTTAAATCAGTAAACACCCCTACATGTCCAATTCTGTTGTTGTACATGTTACAATCACTGATTGATGACACTTTAAAAAAAAAAAAAAACTACAAACCTTAGGTCTGTAAAGGTTAGTATGCTTTTTCACTGAGTGACTCAAATCCTGAAGCACGCCCTGATAGGGCAGTTACCGTGGAAGAATGTATCACTTAGAATGAACCATGGCATTTGGCATTCTGTGTGTTTCTGATGTGGGCCACACACTCTCAAGAACCAGGGTGAAATACAAGAGGGACCCTGCCCAGACATAGGGGGTGAGAGGGCCAGGGCTGTGACTGGGAGCAAGTAAGATCCTGGATGGTGGAGATGGGTCAGGGAGTCAGTGGGCCTAGACTCAAGCCAAAACAGGGCACGCAAGCAGGGCAAGAGTTAGCAGCAGAGACACAGATGACCTGGAGATAAGGGCAGCCCCATTTAGGTCAGGTTTACAAGCAGCTTCCAGAGCCTCTGTAGGCAACAGATGGACCTCTGTTCAAACCCCAAGGTGAAGCTTGGCTCACAGCTCTGCCATTTCCCAGCCGTGTGACCTTGGGCTTGTTACTCAGTTTCTCTGTGCCGCAGTTTCTCATCTGTAAAAACAGCCATTTCTTCTCGGCCTGTTGTGAGGACTCAATGAGTTATACCATTTAAAGGATGGCAAAGCAGTCAGTAAATGTTAGGCATGGTGATTCAGAGGAGTGAAGTGGGCATTTTTCATCTCTTAACTTACCCAGCATCCAAATGTCTTTCCCTCTGTGGGGGTCCCTGTGGGAGGCAGGGCTTACCCTGCATGAAGGAGGCAGAAGGTGGGCCTGGGGGAGGCTTAGGACTTTGATCCTGAGGGAGCGAGACAAAGGTGCCGGGACCCTTCTTGGAGATGCCTTGCAGGGCTGGTGGCCGCATGGGGAAGGGTGGCTGACCAGTGTGGGGGATCAGTAGACTGTCCCTGTGCTAACTTGGCATAACCGCCCTGGCTCCTGCCCGCTGCTCTTCCAATAAATCCCGTTTCTGCTGCATCACCAGAGGCTGCCCTGTGGAATGCAACCAAGAGCTCCAAGAAGAGCCATGCTCAACACTGCTGTCCAATACCACTGCCCTCTGGAATGCCCTCAGACCAGCGAGAAGGGTCAGCTCAGAAGACAGGCCTAAATTCCCCCACAGAATGGAGAATGGCCCCAGACCCTGCAGAAAGACCCCAAGGCAGAAATCCCACACAGGGAGCTCCTTGTCCATGGACAGTCCGGCCACTGGGAAGGGCCAGAGCATCTGACAGATCTTAGGAGAGCGAGACCAGGAGAAGCCACACACAACACCTCTGAACTTGGAGATGGCAGGGGGCTGGCAGTCCAGGGGGCAGGGGAGGTGGCCTGGAACCTAAGGCATGGTCTTTTTGGTTTCTAATCCTCGATTACTGTTTTTCTGCCAACTGCTTTCCTTGCAGGGAGCAGGAGATTTTTCTTCAAGTGGGGCCAGGGTGTGTTTATCAGCTTGTTACAAATTACATGGTAAACACTGAACCCCTGGTTAAGGCAGCCACTGAGTCTCTTTGTTAGATTAATAAGATTACAACAATCTGGGCAGACTTTCAAGTGTTTATTTTCAAAACCTCACTTAGAGGGTGGTAGTCACATAGTCCCAGGCCCGCCTGCATTCCGGGTAGTTGGGTAGAGCTCCTTTCTGTTCCAAGTGCTTATTTCTCCACATGCAAGAAGAGAAAAGGTCATTAACCCCCAGCCTCTGACAGTTTATCCTCACATACCCTATTGCCCATTTTCTAGTCAATAACTTAGTGTTTCTTTTAACACCTACACACTTGTCGGCCTTGTCCCACAGAGGTGTTTTCAAAGCCTAAACTTTACAGTGAGTCATTTCCTGAACACTTCAAAAGCATTTTGGTAGATGGACTGCCCTTCTTTGTAGCTAAGTGCATTGCAGCAAAATTTACCAAAAGTCAAATTCTGTAGCATCCTGTTGACTTGTATTATTGTCATATGGATGGTACAGCTCCCTGGCAAAAACAGGCCACTGCACCCCTTGGTGGCATGAGGGGTGGGTGATGGGGTACAGTGAGGCAAAGCCCGGGGTGGCAGCTGGGGATGGCTCTGCTTACTCATCTTCAGAACTGCCCATCACATGTCTCCCCTCTGGATTCTCCAGACTGCACTGTGGTGAGGGTGCTGTGAGCGTTGTGGGAGTAGAAAGATGACTCAGAACCTCTCTGCCTTCAAAGGGATTGCAGCCTGGCTGGAGCTGCAGGGTCCTCCCACCTCCTGAGCACACAGGCACCTGGAACCTTCACCCTCAGGCCCAGTCTACCTTCCTGACCTGCCACCGCCTCCCAGGTGCATCCCGCCCCACGTCCACTCTCCTTCCCCCTAACCCACAGCCCCAGAAGCTTGGATCCTCAGTCTGATGCTGCAGTTTCCTGACTCCCAAAAGCCGTCTCACCCCTCTGGCCCATATTGACTGACCAATACAGTTCCCTCCAGCTGTCATGCCCTTCCCTCCCCATCCTTCCAGATCCAAGTACAGGGCTGTTCTTCTGGAACTCATCCCTAAGCCCTTGGTTCCCCCATATCCCACAGCTCCCAACTTTTTGCAGGGTTCCGCTCCTGGGTTGAGACTTGACTGCCTCCCTGTCTGATTCCCCCATGAGGCTATGAGCTCTTTTGAGGTATTTCAAACTCAAACTCATCTTTCTAACCTCCCTGCTGAGCTTAACATGTAGCAGCTTTTGGGAATTTAGTAAATGTTAAATGAGTGAATGGATGGATTAAAAAAAATATGAATGAATGAATATGCTGATAGAGATACAAATAATAATAAACTTTATCCAAGGGCTTTTTGTTTACAAATATTTCATGCCCATCAGTATACATGATCCTCATACCTTAGAAAGGTAGTTACCATGACCTGAATTTCACACAGAGGCTAAATTATAGTAACCATAACAACTGCAACATCTGAAGACTGATGTGAATATGCTCTGCTCATCCTAGGACAACTGTGCAAGGGAGGCAGTCATCTTCCACTGTTGGGAACTAAGTTTCAAAAACTTGTCTAAAGCCTGAGCCAGGATTGGAACCCACATCTTGGGACTCTAAAGCCTTCGTTTATTCCCTGATAGCTGTTGGCAGACGGGGATGGAACCCATCCCAGCCAGACAAAGGGGGCCCAGGTGGAATCCTGAAGGGCTGAAGTGAAGATCAAGTGAGGGGCAGATGGGCTGGCCAGTGGGATGGACATGGACAGAGGAGGGGAGGGGCCGGGCACCTGAAAGGCTGTGTGAGGTTTAGGCAGTGCGTGGGAAGTGACCCATGCCAGTGGCCAGGAGGGACCACACCATGACAGGCCTCATAGCCTCTGGGGTGAGGCACTTAATTTTGCCCACAGTGGCTCCCCTGCAGGAGGGGAATGCAACACAGGGGTCTTGGGAATGTTCTTCTGTGTCAGAGAGGAAGAAGCTGGAGGCAAGAAGACCAGTTATCGGATGTGGCAATAATTTGGACCAGTCATAGGGTGACCTACCATGGGTAGTGAGTGGAAATAAAAACGGGGACATGTTGGGAATATTTCCCACACTTTCCCCCACCTCTGTTCTTAGCCCAAAGAAATTTCTCCACTGAAAAAGCTCCCCATGGTGTGTGGGTTCAGGCTACCGTGCCCGTGTGCTCACTGCTCCGCAGCCTCCAGTGCTCCTTTCCCACCTATGACTGCCCATCTGGAGAACACCTGCTCACATGAAACTCCTCCACAGAGCGTCTCCTGACTACAAGTGTGGTGGCGTTAACCACCCCACCTTTGCACCCCTTCACACCTGGTACATACTTCTGTTGTGGCGTCAATGCCAGTGTGCCTTGTCTACACATCTGCCTCCCAGGAGACAGCCAACTCCTCCATGGTTGGGTCTACTTTCCTTCTTGTGTTCCTGGCCTGGAGCAGTGTCTGACACCTATGAAGCAGGGTGTGGATCGAGTGAATGAATGCAGGTCAGCATGAGTGAGTAAACAGATAACGAGCGAGAGGAGACACTCTCCTCCACCCTCTCTCCAGCGATCGGTGATGTCCGATAAGGGTAAGCCGCACTTGGCACTCTCTCTCAGGCCGTGTACTTTGTTTTGAAAAATGCCTTCAAATTAAACGTTGATTTTGTAAAATTAAGGAGTGGCTCATTTGGCAAGTTCGAAACACCCAAAACAAGCAAAAAATGCTTGGGTGGAAAGGGAAAAAGAAGAGGAGAGAGAGAAAGCACGGTTTCGGGCCACTGGTTTACAGGTGCTGTGTTTCTTGCATATGATTGAGGAAAACAAAAACCCAGGCCTGGATGTCGACAGGCCTTCTATGACAAGTGACCTTAGACAAAGTTTGTATCTCACTTCCTTCCATTAGCTCACAGAAGAACCAATGGGAAAAGGCATTGGAAATGGCAAGGAATACCCTAAAAGAGATGTATTCTTATTCTGCCTGGATGGTAAAATATTTCCTTGTGAATTATGTGCCAGCTTTCAATGTGCACCAAAAGAAAAGGAGGATTTTAATATTAAATGTATTCTTTTCACTTACTAAGCCATACATTAATTAGGGAGAAAACATGTTCCAAAATATGACATTAAATCCTTTAATAAGCTGGAGTCTTTACAGAAAAGCAGGAAGTACACAGACACTAGCAGCCTAACCTTACATGCAAAGCCATCTGTGAGTTTAGAACTAACCTGAGGTAGCACGCTGTTGTGAAATTCTAAATTAAACACCACTAAACATGATTACGGCTTCAAAAAGTAGTTACATGCTTCAATAACCACACTTTTATCACAAGAACACACAATCTAAAGCCAAAATAGTTGAGTATAACGTGCCAAAAATATGCTCACCCCATACATTGTTAGAAAGAGCAGTAGGAAAAGAAATCTAAAATTTGCTGCTATTTCATTTGACGGCAGCCAACATCTCCTGTCTTCCTTGGCAAGAAGGCCATTTTTCTATGCTGTATTTTGCACACACAGAAATCTGCATAGAGTGATTTGCATACCAAAAACACATTTGTAAAAGAAACTGTTTGCATAGAAGCCAGGGGGAGATAGGGTTGCCACTGTTGACTTCTATACACACAACACTCCCAGGCTACTTACTTTTCACTTTCCTGTGTGCTGAATTTCCAAAAATGGGTTATGGATTTTTTTGATGCATTAAAACTTAAAGCAACTATATCCTGTAGATATCCAAGAACAACCACAACAATAACACATGCTAAATGTTTCGTGCTAACAGACTGTCAACTTTTTACTAAGAGGCTGGTAATAATAAGTGCTATAATATATTGAGCATTTATGATATCCCATGTGTTTTACATAAATTATTGCTTATTCTCACAATTAGTCTTCAAGGTTGGTGTTGTGGTTCCCCATTTACATAGGAGGAAACTGAGGCATGTCAGGGTAAGGTACCTTGTCAAAGCCTTGTAAGCCAGGGCAGTGAAACCAGGTTTGGAAGCCTGACTGACCGCTCAGCCCTTTCCTGCCACCCCTGCCACCCCCACCCCGAGCTGCCTCTCTCTTTTCCCAGTTTTGCTTTCACACCATTGGTTTTTTTTCCACCAGCCTGGTAGGAGGTGGGAGGAAGTCATGCTGAGAGAGGAAGTCATGTTGCACTTTGCTTTCCTGGCATTTTCTCTGACCAGAGCCTAGAAGCAGGACGGCCACAGTCTCAAGGCTCAGTGAAGGTGCCCCATAAAAGAGCTCCGTGACAGACATGGGGTGAATGGGCAATGGCCTGTGATTCAGAGGGTGTCAAGGAGAGAGACGGATTGGTCTCGGCACAAAGACGGTACATGGTAGTTGAGATGCAATGGACCCCTCCCACCCGGTGCCTGCACGCTATCACCGATTCAGTGCCAGCCCAATTGTATTCTTGGAAACACAGAATGGTTTGTGTGTGCTTAATTATAATGCTACTTACAGAGAATTTATCAGCGGCAAATCAGAGGCTTGATGCTTTGCTTAAGAAAAAAAATTGGTAGTGGCTCTTTGAAATGTGTTCATCTGATGAGTCCTTTGGATTTTTCCAGTATACAGCATTTGAAAGAAATTGGCCATTTCTGGAAAGTCAAGTGCGGGGAGCGGGGGCAGAAAGGGCAGAATTAAAAGACTGCAGATGCCTGCCAAAAAAGATTATAAACATTTACTTTCTTTTAAGATACTTCTTTGTCTTTGTGTTTTTTCTCACCTAGTTTCCTGTTATTCATGAATCCATCATTGTCCAAAGACTCCTAGCTTTGAGACCTAATTATGTATTAATCACTGTTAAAAAGCAGTTTTTCTGACACTTTCAGTAATAAATTCCTTTTGATGTGATTAATAGTAACTCTGCCTTATAGCAAGTTCCAGGCTAAAGCAAGTAATGTGACAGCAAACTGCTTTGGAGGCAGACGGATCTGTTTTAAATCTTGGTTTTGTCCTTCCAGTTTGACCTTACTAATCTCTCTAAGCCTCAGTTTCCTCACCTGTAAAATAGGGAAAATAATGCAAGACAGACCCTGGTTGCCTACCTAATAGCCATTTCCATCTCCTTCAATGAGTGACAACAGATCTTAGTTTTGTTCAGCACCTATGGGAAGGCTTGTCATCAAATTCCACGCAATGAGACTGAAGGGGAAATATGCTAGAAGCTTCTGAGAAAGATTTTCCTCTCTGATAAGAGAGATACATGAAGAGAAAGCCCATTTGGGCCGGGTGCAGTGGTTCATGCCTGAAATCCCAGCACTTTGGGAGACCTAGGCGGATGGATCACTTGAGGTTAGGAGTTCGAGACCACCCTGGCCAGCATGGTGAAACCCCATCTCTACTAAAAATACAAAAATTAGCTGGGTGTAGTGGTGCACACCTGCAATCACAGGTGGTGCGCACCTGTGGTGGGAGGCTGAGGCAGGAGAATGGCTTGGACCTCAGAAGGGAGGTTGCAGTGAGCCAAGATCACACCACTGCACTCCAGCCTGGGCAACAGAGCGAGACTCCATCTAAAAAAAAAAAAGAAAGAAAGAAAGAAAAAAAGAAAGCCCGTTTGCCTTTGCCCCCTTGCTTCCCACTCTGGATGCCGCCGTTGAGACATGATGTCTGGTGCTGCGGCAGTTGTCTTATGAACACGAGAAGAAACATCACGGACACACTAAAGACAGCAGAGCCAAAGGCCTGAAAGAGCCCGGGTCCCTGGGGACAACGCTGATCTATTGAACCAAACTTGGTCTATCCATCTCCAGGTTTCTTGTTAAGAATGAATGTCTTTATGGTTTAACCTGTTGAGTATTGGGTTTTCTGTTGCTTACAGCCACACACACACACACACACACACCCCCTAACTTATACAAATACCAACTTCATAAGATGGTTGTAATAAACCATACATTGTATATAAAGTACTTAGCACAATATCTGGCACAGTAAGTGGCTGCTATAAATAGTAACAAAACTGATCAAACGTAGGTAATGATTTAAAAGAGCAAAAGTTCCAAAACACAACACAGATAAAACGAATGGTACTGATTTAGCATGACAAAAACCACCTTTATATTCCTGGTGAAGGAGTGCTAGGGAGACCTTGAGGTCGAAGACATTGATTACAGTGACAAATCCTCATCTCAGGGAGTAAGCTGCAACCACTGCCAGAGCACACAAGCTATTGGCGAAGGAAGGACTGGGGTTCTTTGCCAGATTTCCATCTCCCCTCTCACTAACCAACAATCACCCTGTCAGCAGCTCCGATTCATGTCTGAAGCCTAACAATTATGTGTATGTGAATTCCCAGCCTTGTGAAGGGGCAGGGTTCTTTCAACCTACAAAATAACTTTCCAGAATACTAAATTTTACTAGAATTTTCTAAAAACATGTTTTATTTCTTTATGGCAGAACGATAGATACACTGACATATACAAATATAATTTAGGAATATAATTTCCACAGATATAGCCTACTATTTTGAATCACCATGGTATCACAGGACCACATATAGTTTACATGAAAGCACTGATTTTTTAAATACAACCTACTGGAACACAAAAAAAGAAAACAATAAGATAACGTGAAAGTGTCTAGTATAACAGAAGTAAGAAGTAATACCTCTATTACTGTAGAGGTAATATAGTAGATACTCAATAAATAATCTCAAAGTAACCAGACTTTTTTTTTTTCATCACTCTATGTTTTATCAAAGAGGCAAATGACAAGATTACAAATTAACACTGGGGAATAAACATATGCACATACTCACATCCTTATCCACTTATGTCTAAGGTTAGTGTACATCCATCCAAAAGCCCTGTACCTTCTGTGCCTATGGTGCTATATAACAAGCACTGATTTTTATAACTGATGGCCATAAGGCTTTGCAGATCTCTGAATTAGTAATCAGAGTCAGCACATTTGTTATAAAAAAGAAATAATCAAACATACAGACAAAAATTCATGAAGAATTGGAACCCAAAGGGTTTTTCTAGTTAGCTTGCAGTTAATTGAATAAAACCACCAATTACTGAACGTTTTGGTTAATTGAGATTTTCTTGTGTGCTATACACATATTTCCTCTTTCCTCCTTTACAATAAAGAGAAAAATTAGTGGTAGCTCAACTTTTCACATTGTGATTTTCCAAAATCAGTGATCCCTGCTTCACTGGGAGACTAAGATAGCATTGATTCCTTAGAGGCAATTTCCACTCTTTACAACATGGTATGTTGTTTTCAACTTGTTTGTATGAAATTTAATGTTTACTTCTGCAGCTGTGGTCTTAACTTGATATTTGAAGCTTGAGGTAAGGGATTTACTTTTAGAAAGAAATATTTTGGGTGCATTTCATAGTCCCATAATGTTTTATAATAGATTTGTTGAAACAGAATTCATATACCACGAAATTCATTCTTTTAAAGTGAGCAATTCAGTGGTTTTTAGTATATTCACAAAATTGTGCGCCATCACCACTAATTCCAGAACACTTTCATCACACCCAAAAGAAACCCTTTATCCATTAGCAGTTACTCCCCATTCCACCCTCCCACCTTCACCCACCACTCCAGCCCCTGGTACCAATGTACTTTCAGTTTCTATGGGTTGCCTAATTTGGACATTTCATATAAATGGAATCATACAATATATGGCTTTTTATGTTTAGCTTCTTTCACTTAATGATTTCAAGAGTCATCCATGTTGTAGCATGTACTTTATTTCTTTTTAGGGCAAATAGTAATTTATTCCTTTTTATGGCAAAAATATTCCATTGTATAGATAAGCAACATTTTTATCCATTCATTAGTTGATAGACATTTGAGTTGTTTCTATTTTAGGGCTACTATGAAAAAGTGTCTCATGATTATTTTTATGGAGGTGAAATTCATGTGACATACAAGTAACTATTTTAAAGTGGACAATTAAGCAGCACTTAGTAGATTTAGAATGTTTTTCCACCACTACCTCTCTCTACTTTCAAAACTATTTTTATCACCCTGGAAAAATACTTCATGTCCATTAAATAATCACTTCCTGCAATGGTTTGAATGTGTCACCCAAAGCTTAGGCATTGGAAACTTAATCCTCAATGCAACGGTGTTGAGGGGTGGGATCTTTAAGAGGTGATTAGGTCATGAGGGCAGAGCCCTCATGGATTAATGTCATTATTGCTATAGTGGGTTTTTTATTCCAAGAGTGGATTTGTTATAAAAGCAAATTTGGCCCTCTCTTGCCCTTCCACCTTCCTCAATGGAGTGACACAGTATGAAGGCTTCTGTCAGACAGCACCACCATGCTCTTGGACTCCCCAGCCTCCAGAACTGTGAGCCAAATAAACCTCTACTGTTTATACATCACCCAGTCTGTTGTATTTGTGTTAAAGTAGCGCAAAACAGACTAAAACAGGAAATTGGTACCAGAGAGGGGCTGTCACTATAACAAATACCTGAAGATGTGAAAGTGGCTTTGGAAGTGAATAATGGGTAAAGGCTGGAAGAATTTAGAGGTGCAGGCTAGAAATGCATGGGTTACTGTGAATGAGGCATTAAGGGCAATTCTGCTGAGGACACAGAAGAAAAGAGCTGTGTTTTTGTTTTAAAAGATTATAAAAAGCCATGAGAATGTAGTTTTTGTTAAAGGAAAAGTAATTTTGTCTAGTTTTGAGGTTTTAAAAAGTTGTTTTAAATTGAAGGAATAAAAAGAACGGATATAGAAAGTTGGGGAAAGAGAGAAAATGGGAAAATTGTAAGAGGTTGTAAAAGGTTTATGGAAACCTTACCTTGTGGTCAAAACTGATTGAGATTGGATAGACTTGTTTACAAGGTTTATTAAGGCTGGCTTTAGTATTAGTAACACGCTGATACAAAGGTAGAATTTGGTCTTCTCTTTTGAACAAGATTTTTGTGTAGTATTAATAAGAGATAGAAAAATATTTTTGTTTACCTTCGAGTAAACTGCAAAAAAAGATATAAAGGGGAGAGAGAAAAGACAGATTCAGTTTGCCTCATGGTGTCTTTATTAGGTCTCATGATTGCTTGGGAAACTGAGTCTCCTCTCTATTAAAGAGTAAAAGTTTTTGCTTTTTGAAATCTCTGAATTATCACTTTGGCTAAATGAATAACTATCATTTTCCAGTGACCCATGATCCTATTTTGAACAAGTGTTTTAAATCTTTGGTATTTGACTAACTTTCCAAAATCAAAATTCCATATTCTAAATTCAATCTTTTTGACCTCAAACTAACTTTTTGGATATTAGGGCCCCTGAAAGTCTAAGAGAGACATATTAGACTTGTTTCATATGTTAAAATCATATGGGACGCATTGTCAAATAAGAAATAGTGTTTAACTTTATTTGGGTTATATTTGTATAAATGTGTTTTAATATATGTTCCAAAATTGTATGAGACTCCTAAAATTCTTATATGTCTTAGTATATGTTATCAGTAATAATTATGATTATTATGTTAAACACCACAAAAATAACCAAATTTCCTTGTCAATTATATCTTTAACCATGGCTATTCTAGACTTTTGTCATCTAGACAATTATTGTTTTAATTTGACTCTTCTCAAAAACTGGTTTATAGTTGGCTATGGTCCAAAATTTGCTTCTTCTTCAAGGAATTAATGGAAAAGACTTTCACAAGTACTCTTGAATACAGGTTTCTGACAACTTTAGTGATTATACTATTGAACCAGGTAAAAACTTCCAAGCCTCTAATTAAAAGGTTGATATGATCATGACGATTGCTAGCTCAGGCCAGGTGTGGTGGCTCACACCTGTAATCCCAGTGCTTTGGGAGGCTGAGGAGGGTGGATCACCTGAGGTCAAGAGTTCAAGAGCAACGTGGCCAGCATGGTGAAATCCTGTCTCTACTAAAAATACAAAAATTAGCCAGGTGTGGTGGTGGACGCCTGTAATCCCAGCTACTAGGGAGGCTGAGGCAGGAGAATCTCTTGAACCCAGGAGGCAGAAGCTGCAGTGAGCTGAGCTCGTGCCACTGCACTCCACCCTGGGTGACAGAGCAAGACTCCATCTCAAAAAAAAGAAAAAAAAAAGATTGCTAACTCAACATCAAGTGGAATAAGAATTCATTAAATAGAACTAAACTAATAAAGAACTGAAATAGTTTTTATGACTTCTTTGTTTAAAACAAAAAGAGATTTTGGGTTCTTTTTTTTTTTTTTTTTTTGGTTATTGATTCTTTTTATGTTTTGTTTTCCAGAGTCAAGAAAACTTTTTTTCTTTTGAGCTATTTATAGCTTACAACAATCAGGTAAAGTATACCTTTGTGAGCAGATTTGAAGCATTTATCTTTCTCTCTGATTTCTCCAGAATTTGGAAACTATATGTGAGTATTCTTATTTTATGGCAATATAGTTATTTGTGTAAGTTCAATATGAATCTGTTTTCTTTTGTAACAGGCACATTAGAGGTTGGTTATTTTACTAAGGCTTTGACCAGAGTGTCATATTTTCCAGTAAGATCAGATTGCTTTGAGAAACAAAGGTTGACTTTATAGAGCTGATAATAAGCCCCTTGGAAAGACTGGCCTGGTACCTTGTCTATGAGGTTTCATAAGGTTTCTAACCTGTGTTAAGTAAAAAATGTCACTTTCTGACAGGCCTATGAAACTCAAGTTATTTTGGAACCTCAAAGAAAGAGGAATGCACCCAATTCACACAGGTACCACAAGCACAGTCTAATGGCAAATCCCTGGCTTGGCTTCCTAGCCTTGAGGATTTTAAAAGTCTAATCTGAAATTCTGATGTTAAAACAGCTGATATGGCCAATCACTATTATTGCTACATTTTATGCAAATAATCAGTCCAAGCATAATAAGCTTAATAATAAGACTAAATTTTTTTGGTGGTGGGGGGTGGGGACAGAGTCTCGCTCTGTTGCCAGGCTGGAGTGCAGCAGCGTGATCTCGGCTCAATGCAACCTCCGCCTCCTGGGTTCAAGCAATTCCCCTGCCTCAGCCTCCCAGGTAGCTGGGACTACAGGCACGTGCCACCACACTGGGCTAATTTTTTGTATTTTAGTAGAGACGGGGTTTCACCATGTTGGCGAGGATGGTCTCAATCTCCTGACCTTGTGATCTGCCTGCCTTGGCCTCCCAAAATGCTGGGATTACAGGTATGAGCCACTGCACCTGGCCAAGACTAAAACTTATTTTGCAAATAAATTTGTCTTACTATGATTTGTCTTTGGTAAAAACAGGGGACTGGTGAGAGAAAAATTATCTTTCAAAAGAAAATCATAGGACACATTGTCAGGCCTCTGAGCCCAAGCCAAGCCATTGCATCCCCTATGACTTGCACATATACATCCAGATGGCCTGAAGTAACTGAAGATCCACAAAAGAAGTAAAAATAGCCTTAACTGATGACATTCCACCATCGTGATTTTTTTCTGCCCCACCCTAACTGATCAATGTACTTTGTAATCTCCCCCACCCTTAAGAAGGTTCTTTGTAATTCTCCCCACCCTTGAGAATGTACTTTGTGAGATCCACCCCTGCCCGCAAAACATTGCTCTTAACTTCACCGCCTATCCCAAAACCTGTAAGAACTAATGATAATCCACCACCCTTTGCTGACTCTCTTTTTCAGACTCAGCCCACCTGCACACAAGTGAAATAAACAGCCATGTTGCTCACACAAAGCCTGTTTGGTGGTCTCTTCACATGGACGCGCATAAAATTTGGTGCCATGACTCGGATTGGCGGACCTCCCTTGGGAGATCAATCCCCTGTCCTCCTGTTCTTTGCTCCATGAAAAAGATCCACCTATGACCTCAGGTCCTCAGACCCACCAGCCCAAGGAACATCTCACCAATTTTAAATCCGGTAAGCGGCCTCTTCTTACTCTCTTCTCCAACCTCTCTCACTATCCCTCAACCACTTTCTCCTTTCCACTCTTCAATCTCTCCCTTCTCTTAATTTCAATTGCTTTCATTTTCTGGCGGAGACAAAGGAGACACGTTTTATCCATGGACCCAAAACTCCGGCGCCAGTCACAGACTAGGAAGGCAGCCTTCCCTTGGTGTTTAATCATTGCAGGGACGCCTCTCTGATTATTTACCCACGTTTCAGAGGTGTCAGACCACGCAGGGACACCTGCCTTGGTCCTTCACCCTTAGCGGCAAGTCCCGCTTTTCTGGGGGAGGGGCAAGTATCCGAACCCCTTCTCTCCGTGTCTCTACCCCTTCTCTGCGTTTCTGGGGGAGGGGCAAGTACCCCTCAACCCCTTCTCCTTCATCCTTAGCAGCAAGTCCCGCTTTTCTAGGGGGCAAGAACCCCCAATCCCTTATTTCCGCACCCTGACCTCTTATCTCTGTGCCCCAATCCCTTATTTCCACACCCTGACCCCTTTCCCGCTTTTCTGGAGGGTAAGAACCCCCGAACCCCTTCCCTCCATGTCTCTACTCTCTCTTTTCTCTGGGCTTGCAACTTCACTATGGGCAACCTTCCACCCTCCATTCCTCCTTCTTCTCCCTTAGCCTGTGTTCTTAAGAACTTAAAACCTCTTCAACTCACACTGACCTAAAACCTCAACGCCTTATTTTCTTCTGCAACACCACTTGGCCCCAATACAAACTTGACAATGGCTCTAAATGGCCAGAAAACGGCACTTTTGATTTCTCCACCCTACAAGACCTAAATAATTTTTGTCGAAAAATGGCCAAATGGTCTGAGGTGCCTTACATCCAGGCATTTTTCACACTTCATTCCCTCCCAAGTCTCTGTTCCCAATGTGATTCCTCCCAAATCCTCCTTCTTTCCCTCCCGCCTGTCCCCTCAGTCCCAACCCCAAGCGTCGCTGAGTCTTTCCAGTCTTCCTTTTCTACAGACCCATCTGATCTTTCCCCTCCTCCCCAGGCTGCTCATCGCCAGGCCGAGCTAGGTTCCAATTCTTTCTCAGCTTCCGTTCCTCCACCCTATAATCCTTTTATCACCTCCCCTCCTCACACCCGATCTGGCTCACAGTTTCGTTCCGTGACTGGCCCTCCCCCACCTGCCCAGCAATTTACTCTTAAAAAGGTGGCTGGAGCTAAAGGCATAGTCAAGGTTAATGCTCCTTTTTCTTTATCCCAAATCAGATAGCGTTTAGGCTCTTTTTCGTCAAATATAAAAACCCAGCCCAGTTCATGACTCGTTTGGCAGCAACCCTGAGACACTTTACAGCCCTAGACCCTAAAAAGTCAAAAGGCCGTCTTATTCTCAATACTCATTTTTTACCCAATCTGCTCCCGACATTAAATAAAACTCCAAAAATTAAATTCCGGCCCTCAAACCCCACAACAGGACTTAATTAACCTCGCCTTCAAGGTGTACAATAATAGAGTAGAGGCAGCCAAGTAGCAACATATTTCTGAGTTGCAATTCCTTGCCTCCACTGTGAGACAAACCCCAGCCACATCTCCAGCACACAAGATCTTCCAAACGCCTAAACCGCAGTGGCCAGGCGTTCCTCTAGAACCTCCTCCCCCAGGAGTTTGCTACAAGTGCCAGAAATCTGGCCACTGAGCCAAGGAATGCCCACAGCCCAGGATTCCTCCTAAGCCGCGTCCCATCTGTGTGGGACCCCACTGAAAATCGGACTGTTCAACTCACCTGACAGCCACTCCCAGAGCTCCTGGAACTCTGGCCCAAGGCTCTCTGACTGACTCCTTCCCAGATCTTCTCAGCTTAACAGCTGAAGACTGACACTGCCCGATCGCCTCGGAAGCCCTGTAGACCATCACGGACGCCGAGCTTTAGGTAACTCTCACAGTGGAGGATAAGTCCGTCCTCTTCTTAATATGGAGGCTACCCACTCCACATTACCTTATTTTTAAGGGCCTGTTTCCCTTGCCTCCATAGCTGTTGTGCGTATTGACAGCCAGGCTTCTAAACCTCTTAAAACTCCCCAACTCTAGTGACAACTTAGACAATACTCCTTTATGCAATCCCTTTTAGTTATCCCCACCTGCCCAGTTCCCTTATTAGGCCGAGACACTTTAACTAAATTATCTGCTTCCCTGACTATTCCTGGATTACAGCTACATCTCATTGCCACCCTTCTTTCCAATCCAAAGCCTCCTTTGCATCCTCCTCTTGTATCCCCCCACCTTAACCCACAAGTATAAGATACCTCTACTCCCTCCTTGGTGACCGATCATGCACCCCTTACCATCTCATTAAAACCTAATCACCCTTACCCCACTAAACGCCAATATCCCATCCCACAGCATGCTTTGAAAGGATTAAAGCCTGTTATCACTCGCCTGCTACAGCATGGCCTTTAAAAGCCTATAAACTCTCCTTACAATTCCCCCATTTTACCTGTCCTAAAACCAGACAAGCCTTACAAGTTAGTTCAGGATCTATGCCTTATCAACCAAATTGTTTTGCCTATCCACCCTGTGGTGCCAAACCCATTTACTCTCCTATCCTCAATACCTCCCTCCACAACCCATTATTCTGTTCTGGATCTCAAACATGCTTTCTTTACTATTCCTTTGCACCCGTCATCCCAGCCTCTCTTCGCTTTCACTCGGACTGACCCTGACACCCATTAGGCTCAGCAAATTACCTAGGCTGTACTGCCTCAAGGCTTCACAGACATCCCCCATTACTTCAGTCAAGCCCAAATTTCATCCTCATCTGTTACCTATCTCGGCATAACTCTCATAAAAATACACATGCTCTCTCTGCTGATCGTGTCTGATTAATCTCCGAAACCTCAATCCCTTACAAAACAACAACTCCTTTCCTTCCTAGGCATGGTTAGTGCAGTCAGAATTCTTACCCAAGAGCCAGGACCGCCCCCTGTAGCCTTTCTGTCCAAACAACTTGACTTTACTGTTTTAGCCTAGCCCTCATGTCTGCGTGCAGCGGCTGCCACTGCTTTAATACTTTTAGAGGCCCTAAAAATCACAAACTATGCTCAACTCACTCTCTACATTTCTCATAACTTCCAAAATTATTTTCTTCCTCATACCTGATGCATATACTTTCTGCTCCCCCGCTCCTTCAGCTGTACTCACTCTTTGTTAACTCCCACAATTACCATTGTTCCTGGCCCGGACCTCAATCTGGCCTCCCACATTATTCCTGATACCACACCTGACCCCCATGACTGTATCTCTCCGATCCACCTGACATTCACCCCATTTCCCCATATTTCCTTTTTTCCTGTTCCTCACCCTGATCATGCTTGATTTATTGATGGCAGTTCCACCAGGCCTAATCGCCACACACCAGCAAAGGCAGGCTATGCTATAGTACAAGCCACTAGCCCGCCTCTTAGAACCTCTCATTTCCTTTCCATCGTGGAAATCTATCCTCAAAGAAATAACTTCTCAGTGTTCCATCTGCTATTCTACTACTCCTCAGGGATTATTCAGGCCCCCTCCCTTCCCTACACATCAAACTTGAAGATTTGCCCCCACCCAGGACTGGCAAATTAGCTTTACTCAACATGCCCGAGTCAGATAACTAAAAAACCTCTTAGTCTAAGTAGACACTTTCACTAGATAAGTAGAGGCCTTTCCTACAGGGTCTGAGAAGGCCACCGCAGTCATTTCTTCCCTTCTGTCAGACACAATTCCTCAGGTTAGCCTTCCCACCTCTATACAGTCTGATAACAGACCAGCCTTTATTAGTCAAATCAGCCAAGCATTTTTTCAGGCTCTTAGTATTCAGTGAAACCTTTATATCCCTTACGGTCCTCCGTCTTCAAGAAAAGTAGAACAGACTAATGGTCTTTTAAAAACACACCTCACCAAGCTCAGCCACCAACTTACAAAGGACTGGACAATACTTTTACCACTTTCCCTTCTCAGAAGTCAGACCTGTCCTCAGAATGCTACAAGGTACAGCCCATTGAAGCTCCTGTGTAGACGCTCCTTTTTATTAGGCCCCAGTCTTATTCCAGACACCAGACCAACTTAGACTGTGCCCCCCCCCAAAAAAAAACTTGTCATCCCTACTATCTTCTTTCTAGTCATACTCCTATTCACCGTTCTCAACTACTCATACATGCCCTGCTCTTGTTTACACTGCCGGTTTACACTGTTTCTCCAAGCCATCACAGCTGATATCTCCTGGTGCTATCCCCAAACTGCCACTCTTAACTCTTGAAGTAAATAAATAATCTTTGCTGGCAGGACTATGCTGAATCTCCTTAGGCACTCTCTAATCAGATGCCCTAGGTTCTCCCAATTCTTAGACCTTTTATACCTGTTTTTCTCCTTCTCTTATTCCATTTAGTTTTTCAATTCATACAAAACCGTATCCAGGCCATCACCAATCATTCTATACAACAAATGTTTCTTCTAACATCCCCACAATATCACCCCTTACCACAAGATCTCCCTTCAGCTTAATCTCTCCCATTCTAGGTTCCCACGCCGCCCCTAATCCCGCTTGAAGCAGCCCTGAGAAACATCGCCCATTCTCTCTCCATACCACCCCACAAAAATTTTCGCCGCCCCAACACTTTACCACTATTTTGTTTTATTTTTCTTATTAATATAAGAAGACAGGAATGTCAGGCCTCTGAGCCCAAGCCATGCCATCGCATCCCCTATGACTTGCACGTATACATCCAGATGGGCTGAAGTAACTGAAGATCCACAAAAGAAGTAAAAATAGCCTTAACTGATGACATTCCACCATTGTGATTTGTTTATGCCCCACCCTAACTGATCAATGTACTTTGTAATCTCCCCCACCCTTAAGAAGGTTCTTTGTAATTCTCCCCACCCTTGAGAATGTACTTTGTGAGATCCACCCCTGCCCGCAAAACATTGCTCTTAACTTCACCACCTATCCCAAAACCTATAAGAACTAATGATAATCCACCACACTTTGCTGACTCTCTTTTTCGGACTCAGCCTGCCTGCACCCAGGTGAAATAAACAGCCACGTTGCTCACACAAAGCCTGTTTGGTGGTCTCTTCACATAGACACGCATGAAACACATATTATTAGATTCTAGCTTTGTCCATTGTTCTTGAGTTTTTATTATTTTCCTGTAATTTGGACTGAATTCTGAATTCCTTCCTGGCTATATGTCTCCAAACTAACATTTTCAAATTTTTTTTTCCATTTTTCTGACTTGGAATCATTAGAAATCATTGAAACTGTGCTTTTCTTAAGGCCCTGCAAACTGAAGCTAGACAACTTAAACTTCAGGAGAAATCAAAGCAACTTACATATAAACAGATTTCATGCTTGCTGAAGTATGGACTACTGAAAAAGTTCACTTAAACACCTGATTCGAACTACAATCCGAAGTTGCCACTGCAATCTGAAGATGTTTCAGAGACTCTTGAAAAGCTTGTCTATAGACTATTCCAGGCATTAACCTTTGTTTTTCTTCGGTTTCCATAGAAATGCCTCGTATTAAAGATGTTTGCCAGCAACATACAGACAGAGCCAATCTGCAATGCCACCTCCTGGAATAGGTCACAACTGTTTAACCAAACTGATATATTCTCAGGGCTGAGACTGATTCAAGAAGATATAGAACGATACACTTAAATTTGCTCTTTTCTGTTTATCCCAATTTGTTTTTCTACTCCTTTGTCCATCTGTACCTAAAACTTCTAAGCCAAATCTCTCCAAAGCTATTGGCTTAGCTTTTAATATGTGAATTTTTTTTAAGGTTTCAACGTGGGGACTGAAGGAAATCAAAATAGTTTACCCCAAAATATATTTCTTTGCCATATTTTGAGATGGCTGTCAGAGAGCCAGCAAACAGAAGTAGGCATGCAAAGCTGTCTTTTGTGGGGGAGATTTACATCTGTAGAGAATTTGCATTGAGGCAGCCAGGCTTTCCTTTGTCTGGATCTAGGGAAAAGAGTCTGACACCTTTAAGGTCTGAAAGAAACACCATCTATTCTCTCTGAGGGCTACTACCTGTGGAATTTCATCTACATAACAAGACCACCTTTGCTAGTCAGGCCTTCTCTTCTTTTCCTCCCATAGCCTTTGTGTGTGTGTGTGTGTATGTGTGTGTGTGTGTGTGTGTGTGTGTGTATGCTGCCATAACCTGATTTGCCACAATCCAGGCCCCCATTCTTTCTGTAACCTCAAGATGGCATAAAAACTTCTGCACCCCACTGGGATACTGGGTAATCATTCTGATGTACTCTATGTACATGTTAAGAAATTGGATGCCTTTTCTCTTATTAATCTGCCTTTTATGAGTTGATTTTTCAGTGAATCTTCAGAGGGTGAAGAAGTTTCCCCCTTTGCCCCTACAAAATTTATTTTTCCCACTAAACTGTAAGATCCCCAAGGGAAGGGTCCGTGTATTATGCTCATCACAAAACCTTTCTGCCTAGCACATGGTGGATATTGACTGGTAGTGTTTTAGACTGGGGCATGCGCAGAATTACCACAATGCTGCTGAAAGTTTGGATACCATATCACAGAAGCTCTCAAAATATACTAACTGAAACACACACACACACACAAACACAAATGTGGTCATAATCACATCGTTAATACCTACGCTATTTACATATCCACCCAAATAGTAGAATTCAGGAAGCCAAGACAAAGTCTCCTAAGTGATATTAAAATTTACATTTCCTTTCAAGTGGTTCTTTGCTCATGATTTTAAAAATAATTGATCTTCAAGAACACAAAAACAAGCATACTATAATTGAATGGCTGCCTATCAAAATGTGATCTGACTTCGGTAATTATTTTTGCCTTCCAAAGGCTCAAAAGACTTTCTAAAGACATACTTGTGCAGCAAGGAAAAGAACTCATAACCTTAACGCTTTGATTCCTTCTCATCTTTATCATGTGGTATTAACATGTAAATATGACCTTTGCTTTTCAAGATTTTACCTACTTCCTTTATTCACTTCTCAAAGGACAGATCAATGGATGAGATTACAGCTATCATGAAATTAATTTCATATACTTGAGAAAGCTACTTTAATCACCACCTGGAGGAAAAGATAAATAGCCTGATACCACTTCCTTAGCTGTAGGAACTAAGATTAGAGGAAAAAATTGTGATAAAGCCTCTCGTTGAAGCTGCAATACCACACACACACACACACACACACACACAAGCAAAAGTGCTGCATTTATGATCAGTCCCTTCAAGTTAGAACTGAGGCACTGACCTGGTGAGCAAATGACTTAAATATTAAATTAAATATTGACTATTTTGCAGTTTATTTCTAGACAATTTTGCCATAGGTTTTCCACAATTGAGACACACTGCAAACTCCTCATTGGTACAAAATGAGGAAAGCTTTACAGTACATATAAATAGAATTTTTTTTTTTGAGATGGGGGATCCTCCCACGTCAGCCACCTCAGCCTTCTGAGTAACTGGGACTACAGCCGTGCACCACGATGCCTGGCTAATTTTTTTTTTTTTTTTTTTTTTTTTTGGTAGAGACAGGGTTTTGCCATGTTGCCCAAGATGGTCTCAAACTCCTGGGCTCCAGTGATCTATCTGCCTCAGGCTTGCAAAGTGCAGGGATTACAAGCCGGCACCACTGCACCCAGCCTGAAATTTTTTTAAGAAATAATTTCAAGGTACTATAAAAAACAATTTAAGAAAATGATAGTCATTGGTTCTATCAAGGTGCTGAGCTGGAGTAATGAAGAACATGTGGACTTTGATTCAGACTATATCACTCATTAGCTACATGACTTTGAGCAAGTTATCTAGCATCTGAGTCTTAGTTTTATAGAGAAACAAGAATTGTGATTGTCAAGCGTGTCCATGTGAAGAGAGTCCACAACAGGCTTTGTGTGAACAATAAAGCTTTTTAATCACCAGGGTGCAGGCGGGCTGACTCCTTTTTCAGACTCAGCCCACCTGCACCAGGTGATTAAAAAGCTTTATTGCTCACACAAATCCTGTTGGTGGACTCTCTTCACACGGATGCACTTGACATTTTGTGCTGAAGACCCAGGACAGGAGGACTCCTTCGAGAGACCAGTCCCCCATCCTTGCCCTCACTCGGTGAGGAGATCTACCTATGACCTCAGGTCCTCAGACCAACCAGCCCAAGGAACATCTCACCAATTTCAGATCGGGTAAGCGGTCGTTTCACTCCCTTCTCCAACCTCTCTCACTATCCCTCCACCCTTCAATCTCTCCCTTCCTTAATTTTGGTTCCTTTTCCCCTTTCTGGTAGAGACAGAGGAGATGCATTTTATCTGTGAACTCAAAACTCCAGCGCTGGTCACAGACTCGGGAAGACAGTCTTCCCTTGGTGTTTAATCACTGCGGGGACGCCTGCCTGATTATTCACCCACATTTCAGAGGTGTCTGATCACCATGGGGATGCCTGCCTTGATCCTTCACCTTGGTGGCAAGTACCACCCCCCGCCCTCTGTGTCTCTACCCTCTCTTTTCTCTAAACTTACCCTTTTACTATGGGCAACCTTCTGCCCTCCATTCCTCCTTCTTCTCCCTTGGCCTTTGTTCTAAAAAACTTAAAACCTCTTCAACTCCCACCTGATCTAAAACCTAAGCGTCTTATTTTCTTCTGCAACACTGCTTGGCCCCAATACAAACTTGGTAATGGCTCCACATAGTCAGAAAATGGCACTTTCGATTTTCTCCATCCTACAAGATCTAGATAATTTTTTTCAAAAAATGGGCAAATGGTCTGAGGTGCCTGATATCCAGGCATTCTTTTATACATTGGTCCCTCCCTAGTCTCTGCTCCCAATGTGACTGTCCCAAATCTTTCTTGTTTTTCTCCCGTCTGTTCCTTCAGTCTCCACCCCAAGCTCTGAGTCCTTTGAATCTTCCTTTTCTACAGACCCACCTAACCTCTCCCCTCCACCCCAGGCTGCTCCTCGCCAGGCCGAGCCAGGTCCCAATTCTTCCTCAGCCTCCACTCCCCCACCCTGTAATCCTTCTATCACCTCCCCTCCTCATACCCAGTCTGGCTTACAATTTTGTTCCACAACTTGCCCTCCCCCACCTGCCCAACAATTTCCTCTTAGAGAAGTGGCTGGAGCTGAAGGCATAGTCAAGGTTAATGCTCCTTTTTCTTTAGCCAACCTCTCCCAAATCAGTTAGCGTTTAGGCTCTTTTTCATCAAGTATAAAAACCCAGCCCAGTTCATGGCCCATTTGGCAACAACCCTTAGACGCTTTACTGCCCTAGACACAGAGGGGCCAGAAGGCCGTCTTATTCTCAATATGCATTTTATTACCCAATCCACTCCTGACATTAGAAAAAGCTCCAAAAATTAAGATTCTGGCCCTCAAACCCCACAACAGGACTTAATTAACCTCGCCTTCAAGGTGTACAATAATAGAGGCAGCCAAGTGGCCACGTATTTCTGAGTTGCAATTCCTTGCCTCCACTGTAAGACAAACCCCAGCCACATTTCCAGCACACAAGAACTTCAAAAACCTAAACCATAGCAGCCAGGCATTCCTCCAGGACCTCCTCCCCCAGGATCTTGCTTCAAGTGCCAGAAATCTGGCCACTGGGCCAAGGAATGCCCGCAGCCCAGGATTCCTCCTAAGATGTGTCCCATCTGTGTGGGACCCCACTGGAAATTGGACTGTCCAGCTCTCCCAGCAGCCACTCCCACAGCCCCTGGAACTGTGGCCTAAGGCTCTCTGACTCCTTTCCAGATCTTCTCAGCTTAGCGGCTGAAGACTGACGCTGCCCGATTGATTGCCTGGGAAGCCTCCTGGACCATCACAGACGCCTTGGGTAACTCTTACAGTGGAGGACAGGAATGTCAGGCCGGCCTCTGAGCCCAAGCATGCATGTATACATCCAGATGGCCTGAGGCAACTGAAGAACCACAAAAGAAGTGAAAATGGCTAGTTCCTGCCTTAACTGATGACATTACCTTGTGACATTCCTTCTCCGGGACAGTGAGTCTCCGGAGCTCCCCACTGAGCACCTTGTGACCCCCGCCCCTGCCCGCAAGAGAACAACCCCCTTTAACTGTAATTTTCCACCACCTACCCAAATCCTAAAAAACGGCCCCACTCCTATCTCCCTTTGCTGACTCCTTTTTCGGACTCAGCCAACCTGCACCCAGGTGATTAAAAAGCTTTATTTCTCACCCAAAGCCTGTTGGTGGTCTCTTCACACGGATGCGCATGACAGTGATTATATGAGAAAATGAATATGAAATGCCTAACAATACTATATGTATACTATGGCTTTTATTATTCTAATAAGATATGGATGATTTCACAGAGAATGCCAATTATAGGTGTGAGGGAAGAATAACCCCCATAGGTTCTTAGTTGGAGTTAACCTGTTACAAAAGACAAATTAACAAGAGAAAAAGAAAAGCTTCTTAACATGTATATTTCACATATACATGAGAATAGAGAATGAGTAGTTCTCAAAGAGGTGGCTTTGAATTTCAGTTTATATAGCATCTTCAACAAAGAACAGCAGGACGGGCATGGTGGCTCACGTCTGTAATCCCAGCACTTTGGGAGGTCAAGATGAGCAGATCACTTGAGCCTAGGAGTTCGAGACCAGCCTGGGGAACATGGGAACATGCAAAAACCCCATCTCCACCAACACACACACACACGGAAAAACCCCATCTCCAACCCCTCCCCGCAACACACAACGCTAGCTGTGCATGGTGGTATGTGTCTATAGTCCCAGCTACTCAGGAGGCTGAGGCGGGCTCAGGCTCAATCACCTGAGACCAGGGAGGTCAAAGTTGCAGTAAGCTGTGATTGCACCACTGCATTCCCACCTGGGTGACAGAGACCCTGTCTCAAAAAAAAAAAAAAAAAAAAAAAAAAAAGAACAGCAAATATTCAGAGAAATTTTAGGAAAAGGACTTTTGAGCCTTTAGGGACAGCACCTTGGGGGAAGGCAATAAATGGCACATAAAGGCTAGTTAGTAAAGCTTGTTAATACAGATTGCTCTAGTATCATCTCCACACCTATAAGGGTCTAAAGTTGTTTTCAGTGGTTAATGTTTGTTCTGTCTCGCAGGAAGGTGGGCAAGGTACTTTTTGTCTTTGTAAATCTATGTCCTGCTCTTTGGCAAATAGGGAGAGGGTAGAGAGCTTTCCTGCATTTGCTTCTTCTGTTCTGTTCAACAATCTTTCATATTTTGGGGTGGCATATTCTGGTCTCCTACACGGGCAAGGTAAAACACTGAATAAAATTTTTAAATTGTTCCAAATAAATAATAGCTAGGAAAAACCTTAATGATTATGAATTCTTGTTATCTTTACTTAAATTATCTTTATTCTCTATTATCAGCTATCCCTACCCTATTTATTCAAACAGACATTTGTAAGCCACCAAAAAAAAGAGGGGAGTGGGGAATAGAATGTACAGGAACCGAATATGAAAACTGCTGACCCGAACTAAGTAAATTATTTTGCTCTTCACCCAGGCTGGAGTGCAGTGGCACGATCCTCCCCTCAAACTCCTGTAATCTCATACTCCTGGTCTCAAGTGATCTTTCCACCTCAATCTCCCAAGTAGTTAGGGATTTTCACAGTGTTGCCCAGGTTGAACTCCTGGCCTCAAGCAATTCTCCCTCCTTGGCCTCCTAAGCTGTTGGGATTACAGGTGTGAGCCACCTCCCTGGCCAATAAACCCATCTTCTTGACCATATTCATAACTGCCAGAATCATGCCATCTGGTTCTCCTTAGATTATACTTCGCTAAACACACACCATGTATATTACAAAAATTATCTGGTGTTATCAACAGAGCAATCATGAAATACCACAAACCAGAACAAGTGGTCTCTTACTATCTTGAAATCCACAGATTTTTGCAGCAATTTCCAAAATTATATTACTAAAAGTACTTTACTTAAAAATTGTTTACCAAATAAACTTCCTACATTTTACAAGACAATAGACAGAAATGTATTTAACTGAAGTGTCTTAACAATAGCTAATGATCCTTCCCAATAATATGCTAAGTAGAAGCATTAAATATTAATAAATTTCATTCCATCTCATTCAAAAGTCGACTTTTTTATCTCTTTATTATTCAAGACAGTTCTGACATACTTAAACCTAGACACTTTTAAACTTCCGTTAACCACTGAAGAGTTTACTATTACAAAGTTTAAACATTAACATATTCTAAGTTTGTAGTCTAATTTAATACAAGTTTTTAAGGCAATCATTTTACACTTTGGTAAGTTATATCAAATGCCTTATTGAAGTTTGTTTCTTATTCATATTTTACAAACATCCCTAATTCACAGAATTTCACTGATTGTAAAATTTCCCCAATCAGAGATGTGAAGGCTACAGAGAACAAAAAACATGCTTTATAATTTCAATAAATTTTATGAATCTCAACCATTGTAAAGATCACTGAAACATCTACCAAATTAAGTTAAGAGTATTTATTACACTTAAAGTGAGATTTTCCCTCCAAAGTCACCAAAACCATTCTTTAATATTCAACAGACAGTAGTTGGAATTTGCAGGATTTTGGGTTTTTTCTTCCTTTTTTTTTTTTTATGTCAGGGTGGTATGGTCTTCTTTGGATGTATGGCTGTTGAAAGCTGAGTTATACAAAAGAAATCTCTGGAGAACAGAGGCTTTTCTTTACATATTTATTCCCAGAGCCTGCCCTTCATCTCTTTCTGGCTTTCCACATTGATCCAATTGTAGCACTTCCTGGAGAGAGCTATGTTCTAATCAGCAACATCAGGAAGAGAAGGGACAAAGCAAAAGGAGAAAATGCAGATCTTCTCATGTCTCTTTGAAAACAGTGAATACATTCTAAGCTATCAGGCAGTATAAGTCACAATTTAACTTTTAATAATTTTTTACCTGTAATGGACATGAACAGGAAATATGCGATGAGTCATTCATCTATTCAATAGGTGCCCGATTTCTATTGAGATGAACACCGTGTACCAGAATCTCACTTTCTTCCCCATCCATATAGTTGTGCTGACCTTAAAACCTCATTTGCAGGCTATTCAGTAGTTATGCTTGGATAATCTCTACAGAAAGGGCGAATCAAAGGAGATAACACCTAGAGACCCTAAACTACCTAACATTACTTCCTGTTAAGTATTTTTTCCTTTTAATTGCTGAAAAGCTATTGAGTTAAAGCAACCACGCCAACTCCCCAAAGATAATGGTTCAAACCCCCAAACGAAATGTTTGCAATCCTCTTGAGTTGCCAAAAAGAAGCAGTCATTTAAAGAGAACTCAGACTGCATATTAAGTAACCTCTGCCCAAAATGTTAACATCTTACACACTAGCATTGTTTGCACGCGATTCCCCACTTGACGGAAATGTGGACCCACTGTGGCTAGAGCGGTTCAGAACTTCACACCTACTTTTTCTTCTTCAGGGGTTCGGGCGCTTGAGCCACGGGAGGGCGAGGCAGCTTGAAATAGACCTTGACCAGGTCATAGATAAACCACTGCAGGGCCGTGAGGGTGCCGATCATGGGGATGTGCGCAAAGAGGCCGATGCGCGCAACGACGCCCTTCCACACGCCCGTGAACCCCAGTCTTCGGAGGACGCCCAGGGCCGCGATGCCCTTCTCCTTGTTCAGCACAGACACCACGGAGTCGGCGGGATGGGACACGACAGCGCAGAAGACGCCACGAAGGTGATGCCCAGCTGCTTGGCCTTGGTGCACTGGCTCTGGGGCTTGGGCACGGCATACCTGTAGAGGTCCTCTACCGTGCGCTCGAAGCAGGCGAACTTCATCATGGTGTAGGGGATCTGCCTCAGCCACAGCGGCGCCACGCCCTTGTAGAAGGCCCACAGGCCCTCCTCGCCCTACATCCTGGACGCCGTGGCTCGCAGGGTGCTGGCGTAGCCCGGTCGCGTCTGCACGCGGACCTTGACCGCCTCCATGGGCTCCAGCGAGACATCGGGGAAGAACTCGGCGCTGGCCCAGGCGAAAAGGTACAGGCCGGCTCTCCACCCGTAGGCTTTCTCTGGGCCCAGGAGCTCCGCGGAGCGGATCTTGAAGACCTCGTAAAGGCCGAACTTGAAGAAGCCCTGCAGGGAGTAGCCGAAGAAGGTCTGAGCGCAGCCGCGAGCCAGGCCGCACAGCCCGTCGCTGTGCACCGTCACGCCGAAGCCGCTGAGGACGCCCTTGTACCAGCCGGGGTCCACCTGCATGCGGCACTTGACCAGGTGCAGGGACACGATGGCCGTGTGTGTCAGCCGCAGCTCAGCATCCCGCCCAGGCCGCACAGCAGCAGGTACCGGGCCGAGCCGTACTCCACGCTGGCCTCCTCCACAGCCGCCGCCCAGGGTCTGCTGACGCCTTGGCCCACGCTTCTCGCCTGCAGCGCTCGGCGGCCGCGAGGGGATCATCCATGGCCACGCTGGGTGCGGGCCCACCCTGCCCTCCGCCCCTCCAGGCGCACTCACTCAGGGGCCGCGGGGCGGGGCAGAGCGTCGTGAACCTCCCTCGCGAGTCCGCCCACACAACGGCCCAGGCGAGGGGATCCCTGCGGGACCACAGCGCTTCAGCCTGTGCCTGTGCAGTCCGCGGTGTGAAGGACGGTTTAAGTAGGCGGTGTCACCCCGCCCCTTCCCCTCCAGCACGCCCCGCCCCTTCGCCCCGGCGCCCCTTCGCCCCTTCTCGCCCCTTCTCGCGTCTTCGCCCCTTCGCCCCTTCGCCCCTTCGCCCCTTCAGGTCAATGGGCTCCTGGTAGCTGCAGGAACCCCGCCCCGCTGAGCCTAGGCCAGTCAGTGGTCAGTGGTCCCAGAGCTCACCTTCGGCGGTGGGCCGGGCCTTCACCACCCTGGTGACTTTGGTCCAGCTTGGCTGCCTAATCCTCTACAAAAATGCGAAGAAAGTAAACCAACATGTACAAACACGAGTAAACGCAGGAATAGGCGAGTACGTAGATCAGGAGGCGGGCGAAGGGGTAAAGAGTCGCCATGCACTGTTGCCTTCCTGAGAGGCCTTTCTGGAGTCCTCACCCAACTATGCCGGTTTAGGGGAATGGTCATCTCCATGGCAGTGACGTTCCACGGTGCGAATGGGCAGAGAGAGCCAGTGGCTTCCGGCCTTACATAACCTTCTCACCTGGTAGGTAGGTGAGTTTCCCCCAGCTCACACACCACTCCTGTCTCCCAACAAACGGTTGTAGTGGGAGCCTAGGAAGTATGGGGACACTCACTGAATTTAGGGGGGGGTGCTGATTACTTTCACTTATCAGGTATTTTCTTTTCATTGACTACTGATTTTGGAGAATACGAAAGTGAGTCAGAAGCCCTCTTCTTTTGGGAAGCTTACAGTTTCAGTGGCCTGAAAAATAAGAACTAAGTGATTCCAGGTATAAATCAGTAGCATACATCATCCATTCATTTACCCACTTTGTGCTAGGCCCTGTGCAGGGCTAGGGGTTCAGCAAAGAACTAGACATACTCCTGCTAACTTCTAAATAAGATTTTTTTTAAAAGAAAAAAGTCAGTATTTTGATAAGTATTATAACAGAATTTGTTTTTTGAGACAGAATCTCACTCTGTCACCCAGGCTGGAGTGCAGTGGTGTGATCTCAGCTCACTGCAACCTCTTCCTCCTGTACTTTTAGTAGAGATGGGGGTTTCACCATGTTGGTCAGGCTGGTCTCGAACTCCTGACCTCAAGCGATCCGCCTGCCTCGGCCTCCCAAAGTGTTGGGATTACAGGCATGAGCCACCGTGCCCAGCCTATAACAGAATTTGAATAAAGTTCTAGATGAACAATGAAGGAGCAACTAATTTTGCCTGATGAGGTTCAGAAGATTTCCCTGAGGAAGTGACAAGTGTAGCTGGGTCTTGAAGGATAAGTAGGAGTTTGCCACGTAAAAAAGACTAGAAAGGCAATTTCAGGTGAAAGGAAACAAACCTAAGTGCATTTCCTACTGAGGAGAGGGGCTTAATTCAGTATGATGGAAATCAGCAAGGGTTGAGTCTGGAAAAATAAAATTGGGTCAAATTAGGGAAGGCCTTAATGTCTTGTTCAGGACTTTGACTTTTATCCTGTAGGGCAGGCCTATCATTCTCACAAGTGTGATCCGCAGACCACCTGCATCAGAATCACCTGGAGTGCTTTATTAAAAATCTCACCTCACACTCTAGACCGTCTGAATGAGAATCTCTGTGCGTAGAAATAAGTGATTTTAATACACTCCTAGGTGGATTCTTCACTAAGCTTCACTAAAGTTTGAAAACTACACACCACAGTATGGGAAGTCAAGAATTTTTTTTAAGGTTTTCTGATCCACCCGCAAGTGGCATTTGACCAGGTCCAGGGGCATGATGGACATGTGTGTCAGCCCACAGCTCAGCATCCCTCCCAGGCACATGGCAGCAGGTACCAGGGCCAAGCTGTAATGATACATATTGATCAGATTTTCTGATCAATAATTTAGTGCTTATATCCTGAACTGGGTGTATTAAAGAGAATAAAAAATAATATTCCCTCAACCCTCGTAAGTTCACAGTTGGGACAGACTCCTGCAACAAAAGACAGATTAACAAGAGAAAAACAAGCAAGTTTATTAACACATGCAGTGCACATAATGTGGGAGAAAAGTAACTCTAAGCAGTAGCTTAAGAATCTGGCTTATATAGCATGTCTAACATAGCATGATATAATACATTTTAGAAACGTAACAAGACAAAAGAAAAGCAGTCCCAGGCTCCTTGAGGTGAGAAAATGTAGGAAGGTAAATTTATGGGGAAACTAATGGAGTAAAGTCTGCTCAGATTCCTCTGGCACTGTCTCTAAGCTGATAAAGGTTGTAAAGAAGAATTTATATCCCGTCTTCAGGCGGGAAAGCAGGGTGGGTGGATAGAAAGACCTTTTGTCTTTGTAATTCTCTGTCCTGCTTTTAGTCAGACAGAAAGAAGGCAGAGAACTCCCTACATCTGCTTCTTAATTGCCTTTAACTAAAAAAAAAAAAAAAAATTAAGTCAAAGAGGCATATTTTGATGTGACAAATTCTGGTTTCCTTCAGTATTCACCTGTGAAAATTTATCAAGCTGTACACTTAAGATTAGAGTACATTATACACTTTATGTATATTATACCATAATTTTTTTTAAAAGTTGACTGGTGTAAAATTCTCACCCCAAACTGGGGATGATGGCTAGAGGGGAGAACAGAGGCAGATACAGGTTTTCTCAATCAACGATCCTTTTTTAAAACTCCTCTCCTTGTAATAGTCTTCTACCAGGAATTTAAGTATTAAAGAGAAGTCTCCATCCTTGAGTCAGACAGAACAATGAAGTGTTAAAATATCCCATACTAACTAAATTAGGGCTTCCCACAGTATGTTCCTGGGAATACTGGTCCACTTGAAAAAGGTCTGCAGTCAAATGAGTTTGAGAAGTAATATGCTTTGGATCTGTGTCCCCACCAAATCTCATGTTGTGTTGTAATCCCAGTGTTGGAGGCCTGGTGGGAGGTGACTGAATCATGGGGGTGGAGTTCTCATGAATGAGTTAGCACCATCCCCTCGGTGCTGGTCTCATGATAGTGAGTGAGTTATCGTGAGATCTAATTGTTTAAGTGTGTAGCACTTCCCCACTCTCTTTTCTTCCTCCTGCTCTGGCCACACAAGATATTCCTGCATCCCCTTTGCCTTTCACCATAATTGTAAGTTTCCTGAGGCCTCTGCAGAAGCAGATGCTGCTATGCTTCCTGTACAGCCTGTGGAGCTGTGAGCCAATTAAACTTCTTTTCTTTATAAATTACCTAGCCTCAGGTATTTCTTTTCTTTTTTTTTTTTTTTTTTTTTTTTTTTTTTTTGACAGAGTCTCACTTATCTCATGTTGCCCAGGCTGGAGTGCAATGGAGTGATCTTGGCTCGCTGCAATCTCCGCCTCCCGGGTTCAAGCGATTCTCCTGCCTCAGCCTCCTGAGTAGCTTGGATTACAGGTGCCCGCCACGACACTCAGCTAATTTTTGTATTTTTAGTAGAAACGGGGTTTCACCATGTTGGCCAGGCTGGTCTCAAACTCCTGACCTCAAGTGATCCACCTGCCTTGGCCTCCCAAAGCACTGGGATTACAGGTGTGAACCACTGTGCCCAGCCTCAGGTATTTCTTTATAGCAATGTGAGAGCAGATTAATACAAGAAGCATTTCACACTAAGGCATGCTTCTCAACTGAGGTGATATCATCCCCAAGGGGGTGAAATGGTTCTTAGGGGGCAAAGAATCTTAGTACAATGGTTTGTGGCCCACCCAGTAAAATCTTATTCCTTAGTATTTAATTTTGGGGGAGAGTGGGAAGGAGGGAAAGGATGATTAGTAAAAATGTCTAAATCCCTGGGGGAGGGATGGCCTATAATGAACAAAAGGTTGAGAAACGCTGTGTCAGAGCTTGCTCTTGGAGATTCACAGGACACATAAACACATTGAAGAGTGAGAAGTTGTTTAGTTAAAAAAAAACTCTGGCTTTGTTAATTTAGAGTTTCCTAATTTTCCTGGATTTCAGAACCCCTTTTTCATTTTTATTTTATTTATTTTTTATTTTTTGAGATGGAGTATCACTCTGTCGCCCAGGCTGGAGTGCAGTGGTTTCATCTCAGCTCACTGTGACCTCCACCTCCCAGGTTCAAGCAATTCTCCTGCCTCAGCCTCCCGAGTAGCTGGGACTACAGGTGTGTGCCACCGTGCCTGGCTAATTTTTGTATTTTTAGTAGAGACAGGGTTTCACCATGTTGGCCAGGCTGGTCTCGAACTCCTGACCTCAGGTGATCCACCTGCCTTGGCCTCCCAAAGTGCTGGAATTACAGGTGTGAGCCACCGCGCCCGGCCAGAAGCACTACCCCCACCCCCACCTTTTTTTTTTTTTTTTTTTTTTTGAGACGGAGTCTCACTCTGTCACTCAGGCCAGAGTGCAGTGGTGCAATCTCGGCTCACTGCAACCTCTGCCTCCCGGGTTCAAGCAATTCTCCTGCCTCAGCCTTCCGAGTAGCTGGGACTACAGGCACACGCCACCATGCCTGGGTAATTTTCTGTATTTTAGTATAGATGGGGTTTCACCGTGTTGCCCAGGCTGGTTGGGAACTCCTGAGCTCAGGCAATCCTGGTACCTCAGCCTCCCAAAGTGCTGGGATTATAGTCATGAGCCAGTGCGCCCAGCCCGGAACCCCTTTTTTATATCATACCTATTCACATTGCTATTCATAGACATAACTATTCATAGACGTAGTCTTTCATGGAGCATATTTCGGGAAATGCTGGACTCTTCAGAAATGGAGTTTAGAGAAAATAAGGAGTAAAGAGGGCTAGAGTAATAATAACAGCAGCTACATTTACTGAACCCTTAGGCCTCCATTTCCTAAAGGTACAACTTGGATGTTTTCCTAACATATACCACTGTTCACTTTATGAAACCAGAGGTTATATCAAATTGATCTCATTTCTATCGGATACCTGTTCTGTACTGTGGGCGGCTAGCCACCCAGGTGCCGAGGCAAGAGACCGAAGGCACAAGCTGTTCCAGTGTAATAAAGAAAATATATATAATAAGAATAGTTTTACTAGAAATAGATTATAGATGTGGTTATATATGAATATTATTAATCATTAGTTTGTAGCATTACTATTTATTCCAATATTATAATAATCTTTGTTCTACAATTATAACCTAGAAAAAAACAGGCCATACAGAGATAGGAGCTGAAGGGACACGGTGAGGTGACCAGAAGACAAGAGTGTGAGCCCTCTGTTACACCCGGACAGGGCCACTAGAGGGCTCCTTGGTCTAGTGGTAACACCAGTGCCTGGGAAGGCGCCCATTACTTAGCAGACCTTGGTCTAGTGGTAGCGCCAGTGCCTGGGAAGGCACCCGTTACTTAGCAGACCGGGGAAGGGAGTCTCCCTTTCCCCGGGGGAGTTAGAGAAGACTCTGCTCCACCACCTCTTGTGGAAGGCCTGACATCAGTCAGGCCCGCCTGCAGGCATCTGGAGGCCTAAACGTCTCCCGGTGATCCTGTGCTTCAGTGGTCATGCTCCTGGTCCACCTTCATGTTCCACCCTGTACACTTGGCTCCACCTTCTAGGTAGCAGTAGCAGAAATAGTGAAAGTATTAAAGTCTTTGATCTCTCCAAGAAATACATAGAAGAAATAATGATGTAAGCTATCCTCTCTCTCTCTCCGCCTCGGCTACCAAATAGGGAAGGGCCCCCTGTCCGGTGGACACGTGACTTGCATGACCTTACCTATCATTGGAGACGACTCACACTCCTTACCCTGCCCTCTTGCCTTGTATACAATAAATAACAGCATGGCCAGGCATTCAGGGCCACTACCAGTCTCCGTGCCTTGGTGGTAGTGGTCCCCTGGGCCCAGCTGTCTTTTCTTCTATCTCTTTGTCTTGTGTCTTTATTTCTACAATCTCTCATCTCTGCACACAAAGAGAAAAACCCACAGGCCCTGTAGGGCTGGACCCTACACTGTACCACTAAAATATATATATATATTTTTGAGACAGGGTCTACTGTGTCACCCAGGCTGGCATGCAGTGACGTGATCATGGCTCAATGCAGCCTCAACCTCCCGAGGCTTGAGCAATCCTCCCACCGCAGCCTCCCAAGCAGCTGGGACTACATGCACATGCCACCATGCCCAGCTAATTTTAAAAAATTGTTTATAGAGACAAGGGTCTCACTGTATTGCCCAGGCTGGTCTCAAACTCCTGTACTCAACTGACCTGCCCTCCTTGGCCTCCCAAAGTGCTGGGATTATAGGAATGAGCCACTACACTTGGCCTTAAACTATTGTTTATAACAATGAATTTGTACAAGTTAAAGAAAACAATCAAGAAATTGTCAGGACAAAACTTTTCTTAGACAATTCTTAGTTCAGTAATGTCTCAGTTCATTAGTGTTGTTATAAAGGAATACCTAGGTAATTTATAAAAAAAAAAGAGGTTTATTTGGCTTGTGGTTCTGCAGGCTGTACAGGAAGCATGGCACCAACATCTGCTTCTAGTGAGGGCCTCAAGCTGCTTCCATTCATGGTGGAAGGCAACAGGAGATGGGGAGAAGATGGGGAGGAAGGCAAAAAAGAGGGGAGGGAGGTGCTGGGCTCTTTTAAACAACAGGCTTTCTCAGGAACTCATGGAACTCACTTGCTACTGTGAGGACTGCACCCCCTCATTCAGGAGCCACTCACCCCGTAACTCAAATGCCTCTCATTAGGCCCCACCTCCAACATTTGGTATCAAATTTCAACATGAGGTTTGGAGAGGTCAAATATCCAAGCCATAGCAAATAACTTTACTAAAACACAGCCATAAAGTCAGTAACAACTGAAAGTAGCCTACGAGAATATTTCACCATTACAGAGCACACAACTACCATTATTATTTCCTTGGTTGTTACATGATGTTGGGCAACATTTCTGTCTTGAAATCATCATTATACTTTTACTGTGTTCTTTCTGCAAACTTCAATTGATGAGTTAAGTAGACCTTTCCTTTCCAGAAGACCGAATAAAGACTTGTGTTTCTTTTATTTGTTAGAGAGAAAAGAGTGAAAACGTATTCCTTTATTCATCCATTCAACAGATTTTTATTGAGTGCCTATTATGTGCCAGCACATTTTAAATGTATAGCAAAGCAGAGCTAATATCCCACATTGTCCCCAAACAGAATTTCCAAAAGCTCTAAAACATAATCATAGAGCACTTAGATAAAACAATAGCAAACACTTATTTGGTATCTACTCTTTGCCAGTTGCTATAAACATCTGTAATCCTACAACAAGCATACAAGATAGATGTTCTTCCCATTTCATGAATACAGAGTGGCAGACACTGTTGTCTACTCTTTAGCAACAGAACCCCTATTTGTTCAGGTATCTGGGAGATATTCTTTGATCTCTACATCATTTTGACTCACTTCCTTCTCATGAAATTTTAATTTGCATGTAGGGTATTTGATTTTCAGCCATAAATACTTAGGCCCATGGCCCATTGATACTTTCTCTACTACAGTTACACAAATATATAATATATTCATGCAAGATGTCCTTATTCCTGTTGTCCATGTTTTTGTGTGTGCCCCTCCACTTTCCTCTACCAATCCATGTCATCTTACAGAATCAGTTACAAAGTATGTCTGCCAGAAAACTTTCTTTGCTTAATTCACCTCCCTTGTGTTTGCCAGACTTTCATTTGTATGTAATCTGGACTGGTAAATTGCCATTTTTTTTTAACTGTATAGGAAATACTTCTGACAGGATTGTAAGAACACTGCTTATTTTGTTTATGTATCATTTCATGGAACGGTGTTCTATCCAGTAATCAGGGGATAGTGGCCAACTCTCTTACCTGTAAAAATGAACCAGAGTAGTTGCCTGAATTATTTTCTCAGAGTGAACGTAATCAGATGACTTCATCCCCCCATAGTGAATCTCTATATTCACCCTACAAGTTTGGAGAATAGTGTTTTTGATATGTTATTTTATTTTGTTAGATTTAGCCTAAAACTGCCTCCTTACATATTTTAAGTTTGGCCTAAAAGTTTCTCCGTACATAGTGAACTGTAACCTAACTGGATGTGCAAACAGACTGCAATCTACCCTTGTGCCAATCACTGAGATTCAGCCAATCAAAGTCAGCCAACTGTTCAAACTATGTTCAAATAACGCAACACTGAACTGTAACCAATCTGGCTATTTCTGTACCTCTTTTCTGTACATCGCTTTCCTTTTTCTGTCCATAAATCTTCTTCGACCATGCACCAGTGGTGGAGTCTCTCAACCTATTCTGGTTCTGGAGCTGCCTGATTTGCAAATTGTTCTTTACCCAATTCAACTCTGTTAAATTTAATTTGTCTAACGTTTTTCTTTTTATATACATTTTTTTCTTAACAGCAAGCTCATCCTTAATCTTTTTATAATTTTTAAAGTATATGGAGGACAGTGAAATTAATAAATTTAAGTCCTTAGGAACTTCATGGGAAGGGGAATTGAATATTTATTAAACACTATGACTTGTCAGTACAGTGAATGTTTCTACTCACTTCTGACACCAAGTGTGGATTTTTTCCACACCACCAGTCAGTTCTCCAACTCTCTGGACACCAACTGGGTATCCAACAATTCAATCCAATTTGGACACTAACTACTTGGAATTAATGTCAAACCCCACAGGTTAAGGGCTTAGTCCCACAAGACTGTCCCCACTTCAGACACCAATTGCAAGTCCAGAGCCTCCCCTATTTCTGACCTACTGGCAATACATTGGAGATTCCCACAATCTCCTCATGTTCAATAATTTGCTAGAATAGCTCACAAAACTCAGGAAAACACTTTACTTACATGAACTGGTTTATTATAAAAGCTACAATTCAGGAACAGCCAAATGGAAGAGAGGCATAGGACAGACTAAGGGGAAAAGGGGCGCGGAGCTTCCATACCCTCCCAGAGCCTGCTAGCCTCCCAGCATGTCAATGTGTTCACTAATCTGGAAGCTCTCAGAGCCCTGTACTTTAAATGTTTCATGGAGGTTTCATTACTTGGGCATAGTTAAATCATTGGCTATTGGTGATTAACTCCATCTCCAGTCCCTCTCCCCTCCCCAGAGGTGGGGGTGGGAGCTGAAAGTTCTAATTGTCTAATCATGCCTTGGTCTTCCTGGTGAGCAGCCCCCATCCTGAAGGTATCTAGGGGACCCCAGCCACCAATCACATCATTAGCATATAAAAAGACACTGTTATCATTCCAGAGATTCCAAGGGTCTTAGAAGCTCCTGTCAGGAACTGAGGATAAAGGGCAAATATCATAACAAATGATGCTCCTATCACCCCTATCACTCAGGAAATTACAAGGGTTTTAGGGACTCTGAGCCAGGAACCAGGACAAAGACCAGATATATATTTCTTATTATATCACAATATCACAGTCAGACACTATGATATAGTAGAGAAAGTGTCACAACTTTGGGCTGAAACAGATTTTGAGTTCCATTTTTTTTCTAGCTGTGTGAACTTAGACAAGTTATGTATCCTCTTTCTGAGCTTATTTTTCTTTTGTAAATCTGTAATTTGAGTTCATTATAACTACTGTTTATCTTTTAGGGTTGCAATAGGAGAGACAATGTGCACGAATGTGTGAGAAGTTGTGCATAAAGTATGTGGCTCAGTACCCTGTACGTTAATAAGCATTCCACAAATGTCAGTTCTGTTACTCACCCCCATTTTCTGGCCCCATTCAATCCTCTCAGAACTCATGTTTCTGTGATGCCAGTCTCTGCTCTTTCTCCTCCACTCAAGTGGATGATTCGGTTAACTAAATTCCTACTGACTCTGATGATTTGGGACAGGAATTGAAGAAATCATAACTGGCAGAGGTGTGAACTTCTTTGACAATGCCCCAAGATGTGTCAAGGCATAAAATAAGCAGGTGTCAGGTCTCTGAGCCCAAGCTAAGCCATCATATCCCCTGTGACCTGCACGTACACATCCAGATGGCCGGTTCCTGCCTTAACTGATGACATTCCACCACAAAAGAAGTGAAAATGGCCTGTTCCTGCCTTAACTGATGACACTGTCTTGTGAAATTCCTTCTCCTGGCTCATCCTGGCTCAAAAGCTCCCCTACTGAGCACCTTGTGACCCCCACTCTGCCCGCCAGAGAACAACCCCCCTTTGACTGTAATTTTCCTTTATCTACCCAAATCCTATAAAACGGCCCCACCCTTATCTCCCTTCGCTGACTCTCTTTTCGGACTCAGCCCGCCTGCACCCAGGTGATTAAAAGCTTTTATTGCTCACACAAAGCCTGTTTGTTGGTCTCTTCACACGGATGCGCATGAAAGCAGGACAGAGATTGTTCACCTGTGGCTGTCTCAGAGCAGGACAGGACAGAGAACCAGGCAGCCTTCCTCCTCTTCCAAATAAACCCTTCCAGCCTGGTGCTTTATTCCGTTGAATTCCAGCTATAGTGGCCAACTTGTCCCAGCTTTTCCTGGACAAAACAGGGAGGTTTTACCACTAAAAATCACGTGTCCCTAAAACTCTTTCAGTGTCAGGCAAATCAGGACACTTGGTCACCATACCTGAGGAGTCTGGGCTATGTCCTTGGCTTCCACCTATGGGCAGTGTGCTGCACTATAATAAGCACAGGCTTTGGCACCAGGCATACCTGATCCACAGTCTGGACTATTCCACTTCTAGCTATGAAATTTGTAAAGTTTGTCTTATATTCTTGAACCTCAGTTTCTTCATCTATGAAATACATCATATTCTTTCCTAAATTTGTAATAAGCTTCATATTATTAAATGATACAACAATGCTTGCAATGCTGTAAAACCTTTATATATGTTAGTTCCTTCCTGACTTCCTTAAGAGGAGTTTCATTATTCTCTGGGGTACCATGTCTCTAAAAATCCCTGAAACCTCAAGTTTCCATGAAGGGGGGTGGCCATCGGGCAGCAGGGGGCACTGTTGCCACTATTCCATTCTTCCTACCCACTTCTCTGCACCCCACTATCCTCACACCAAAGGAATAAAGCTTTAGTAAGCCACTGATGAAAGATGGCCAAACTCGGACACAGGAAGGGGAATATCACACTCTGGGGACTGTGGTGGGGTGGGGGGAGGGGGGAGGGATAGCATTGGGAGATATACCTAATGCTAGATGACGAGTTAGTGGGTGCAGCGCACCAGCATGGCACATGTATACATATGTAACTAACCTGCACAATGTGCACATGTACCCTAAAACTTAAAGTATAATTAAAAAAAAAAAAAAAAAAAGTTGGCCAAACTCAAAACCCACACTTGGTTTTAACTTACCTAAATGTGTCCCACATGCTTGCAATAATGTTAAGGGTGTATCTGGACCCTTTTACATCTTGTACATTAATGTATAATCCTTCTCACTCCAGGGCGTTTATGAAGTGCGAGGGGGCCAAATGTTTATTCTTAGAATTATTCAACCCCAGATAATTAATTATTCTGATGAATTGTATACTTTTTTTTCTTTTTTCTTGACCAGATTGGAAACAATGATAGACATTCAACTGAGATTTATTTGTAAAACTCTGACAGATTGGGAATGATAGAGTTCCTTAAACTGTCTCTTAAAATAAATATTTCTGATTTATCTGGCAAGTTAAAGAGGAAAAAGCAACAATCCCCAAACTGATTAGGCCAAGTAAGTTTAACTATGTTTAAAGAAAATGTGTAGGAGGTAATAATCTCTATATGCTTAGGAAAAAAACTGTTCATAACAAATCTTCATGCCTTTTTTTGTTTAAGGAATTATTTGTGCAAAGCAAAATTACTACTCCTAGTGGTAGTAATTGTTTACCTGGGGTAGGTTCTAAGGGAGAAGAAGGGTATTAATCAAATACTTTAAAAACTAATTTTCCAGAATTCTTACAATATAAAATGTCCACGGGACTACATTTATCAAGCGACATGTACATAATCAACCTGTGCCCTCTGGTTGAGCTTTTAGGCAAAACTGATGGATTCTATATTGCAGGCATGCTGTAACCTTAGTAAATAATGACACCCTTCTTTCTTTTCTAGTTTACACAGTATTTTACTAGTAATTTATACCTAACAAGAGAAATAGGAAAATATTCCCATAAAAATAACATCATATGTTTGAAGATTCAAAATGCAAACTGGAGTTTTATTAGACTCTTCTAGCTGGCATTTTCTAATAGTAATATTTCCAGTTCTGAAGCATGAGACAGTGTTTTGATCCCATTAAAAAGGCCCTAAATGGTAAAGAGCAGAGATTCATGCGAGTGAAGGTTATCTAACCACCATGATGGAGGGGTGTATGAACGTGGTACACTCTACCTGAAGATGATGTAACACCTTGAACATAAGCTACTGTGGAAAACTTGGTCTTCAGAAGTAGAAGGACTGAGCACACAAATCTCTTGTGCACTGCTGCCCAATAGAAATATAATGAAAGATCATACATATAATTTAAGATTTTCTGGTAGCAACATTAAAAGAGTAAAAAGCCACATCAAAATATTATTTAATTCAATATATCCAAAATATTACTTCAATATATCCAAAATATTATTTCAATATATAATATATATAAAATTATTGAGATATTTTGCATTCTTTTCTTCATACTATGTCATTAAAATCTGGTGTGTATTTTATACTTTCAGAACATCTTAAATTTAACTGGGCACATTTTAAGTGCTCAATAGCCACAGTAAATAATAGGTATAGTATTGGACAGCTGGTGTTTAATGTATGCTTGGAGAGCCTGATGCCACTGTGTAGCTAAATCAAATCCTGTGATTGGAGGTGGCTTGGAGTCAGTCAGAAATACTACTTATCTCTCACCCCCCTTCCCTTTGTCCCTTCTTCCTCCTTGATACTATGTAATGCATGCTAACCATGTGCCAGATACCAGACCTGTGCTGGGCTATTCAAATGTATTATCTCATCAATCCTACAAGAGTCAGGCATCTCACCTTGTAGTTAAAGTAAAGGAAATAACTAAATGGTGGCAATATGGCATAGTACTTAGGAGTTCAGACTTGGAGGCTATTCACATGTGTTTCTGTCACTTCCTATGTACCTTGGGTAAGAATATTTCTGAACTTTAAGCTTCAATGTTATTTGTCAAATGGACACAATAAAATTACCTACCTTATACATGTTGTTCTGTGGTTTAAATGAGGCCATGTCTGCAAAGTTGTAAGCATTCATTAAATAACAATATCACTAAATGGGATATTGTGCCACACTTTGGGATTTGCAACACGTTTTACAAATATTACTATTGCAACTGAGGCTCAAAGAAGTTAAATAATTTAGCTAAGGTTAACACAGCTAATAACTAATGATCATGTTCTCACCCAGCTTGCCTGTCTTTATAGTATTACTTGCCATCTGTTTTCAGTTACAAAATGGACCGAACTTGTACTGACTCTCTGACATAAAATGTTTAGAAAGGTTACTCGAAAGATAAATTATTGATATCTGTTTGCCTTTCTCATAGAAGCATAACTCAGGAAAAAGATGCTGGTTTTTTGTTTTTCGATAAATAGTTACTGTTTTCTAAGAAATTAGACAAGGAACATACACAGAAAAAAGAAGATTCAATTTAATTTTCTTTTTCCTTTGCTCTTTTTGACTGCTTTTACCAGAGAACAGTACCTTGTATATGGTAGGCATTCAATTCATGCCTCTTGTGTTAAATTGAGTTTGCATTTTACCACAGGACAGAGATATTAAAGGTTATATTATTCCCTATTAGCAATGTAGTTTATAGGGACGTGTGCCTCTCGTATTTTCAGAAAAAAAAAATTGAAATTTATAGAAATTTGATAGTACTATCAAAAATACATGTAATCAGCTACATATACATATTATGAAAGTTTCTGTGGGCTGAGCACAGTGGCTCATGCCTATAATCCCAGCACTTTGGGAGGCCAAGGCGGGAGGATTACTTGAGCTGGGAGTTTGAGGGTGTAGTGAGCTATGCTCGCGCCACTGCACTCCAGCCTAGGTAATAGAGTGAGACCCTGCTGCAAAAAAAAAAAAAAAAAAAAAAAAAAAAGAAGAAGAAGGAAGGAAGGGAGGGAAGAAAGTTTCTGTGGGTGTCAAAAAATGTTTGTTCATCCAATTAGCAAGTAAAAACAAGACAGAACAAAGGTCAGTACTATTGGGTTGAAGAGTAGCACTTGGAGCATGCCCTCTCCGCCAGGATGGTGTACTTTTCCTTTGCTCCACAGAATTGCTTGTTCCAGTCTTAATCTTCACAGCCTCTCCAACAGCTTTGGTCTGTTTGACTGCCTCATGCTCTTCTTTTCTCTCACTCCTTTGTCTTCCATCCATTACTATTTTGTGCCTCGCTTCTCTAAGATTCCTAGGAGAGGTCAGATGAATCTGTTAATGGTGTCCCAGGGTTAGAAGGAGCAACCCTGTCTGGCCCAGTGCTAGTTTGGGCCATGGCTAGCCTCAAATGTGTGCCCCACCTGGAACAACCACCTCAAGGAAAACCCCACTCAACTCTATTTGAATCTTGCAATACCTGCACGAGTGCTTATTACTTACTGTTTTGCCTGGCTCTGCCGTGTGATTTCCTCTTCTCCTTGGTCAATTTCCCTCAAGGACTCCTTCCACAGCCTGGCTGCAACTTACTTTTCCACCTCATTTCTCGCCAGTGTCTCAACCTTGCTGCACTACAGCCACACTGTAGGCCACTGAGCATGTGGGACACACTTCTGCTTTTGTGGCTGGCTACTAACCCTTTAGGCATCAGCTTAGAAATCAGCCCCTCAGGGAAGTCTTTTTGATTTCTCAAGCCAGTTTAGGATTCCATATGGGTTCTGAAAACCTGACTTTTATTACTCTGGAATTACTTGTTCACCAAGTAATTGGATTGCCAGCTAGAATGTAGGCCTAAAGGCAAGGATCCTGTCTTTTTACTTAACTTCTGCATGCCTTATGCTTAGCACATGGTTGGCACTCAATAAATATTGACCATGGATAGAGAAAAGCAGCTAAGCAGGGCATCCTAGGAAGTTTCTCCAGGTTGGTACCCCCTTTACCCCCCTTTGCTCCAACTATAATATATAATGATACAAACATTTCTATTCATCACCGAAGCTTTCTTGGGGAGATCACTGTTTGGTTTAGAAGAAATATTTGGGTTAGCAAATATATGGTTAATAACATAGACTCTGACGTTAGATTTCCTGGTTTTGAATGATGGCTCTTCCACTTAATGGCTGTGAAATCTTGGGAAGTTCTAAACTTCTTTGGTCTCAGTTTTTCATGTATAAAATGCGGGTGATAATAACAGTAACCTACCTTGGAGGCTTGTTAGTAGGATTATATGACTTAATACATGTAAAGGACTTGAGAGTTCCTGGCACATATAAACAGTTAGAAAGTGCTAAATATTATTATTACTATTATTAAGCCATTAGGGGAGGGGGTGAATTCAAGAACAAAGTCAGTCCCCCAATTCTGCTGGTCAGAACAGTGGCCTTGATCACTGTGGGCTTTCTGTTTGCCTGAGCACTTGTATAATATTTGAGGGAAGTTGCTGAAGCCAATTGGGGAGGAGATAACTTTGACATTGGCAGGAGAGGGAGAATTCATTCACACATTCAACAAGTATTCACTGAATATCAATTTTGTGCTAGACATAAAGAGAAATAAGACAGCCACAGCCATCATGGAGGCTAACAGAAATAGAGAAAGGAGAGTGGAACTAGAGAGGCTGGGTACTAGCCGGTGGGAGGACAGAGCACTTGTCTGTGGGAAGACAGACCAGTGGGTTTGGCACAGCAGAGGAGGATCCTGAGAACAGAAATGCTAAGACAGGATTTTAAAGCATCTGCCATAGGATGTATCATGTAAATCCTCCACTCCACCTCTTCTATGAAATCTTCAATAAAGTTTTCATTGCTCACTGGAGAGAGCTCGAAGAAGGGAAGATAGCAGATATCTGGGTTATAGCTGCTGGGGGAAAGATGCTATAGGCAAAAAAAAAAAAACAACCCTTCCTTACTCTTGAGCGCTGCCAGTAAGGAAACATTCTAGTGCATGCAATATTTAATGATTATAAATGATACCCCTGTGCACTGCATAATGCAAGGCTCTTTAAAATGAATATGAATTAAACAGTACCAGCAGCAATCATATTAACCAAATAGAAGAGGCGTTAGGAAACTAGGGACTCTGGGAAAAAAAGCTGGGAGTCATATATGACCACCAAGCATCCTCACTGCGGTTAATTAGTCAAACTGCAATTCTTCAGCAATTGTAAGTTGGCAGACTTTCTTAAATGTAAATATCCCAAGGTTTAGGTGTGGGGAAGGAAGTCATTCACTGTGTATTTACTGCTCCCATCCTTTTTTGACTTCCTGTTTTCTGCTTTTATATCATGTCACTATCTTTTAAAATACTGCCAGGTGCAGTAGCTCATGCCTGTAATCTCAGCTCTTACGGAGGCCGAGGCCAGTGGATCACTTGAGCCCCTGGGCAACATAGTGAAACCCCACCTAAAAAAAAAAATACAAGAGTTAGCCTGGTGTGGTGGTGTGTGCCTGTTGTCCCAGCTACTCGGGAGGCTTAAGTGGGCAGGTAACCTGAGCCCAGAAGGCAGAGGTAGCAGTGAGCAGAGACCATGCCACTGCACTCCAGCCTGGGTTATGAAGCCAGACCCTGTCTCAAAAAACAAACAAACAAACAAACAAAACCCAGTTTAAAGAAATGTGTTTGTATATATATCTTTTTTTTAAAGCAGCAGTCTAAGAAGTAATTAGCCATCAACCTAAACAGAACAAAACTATTAATTTGCCTGAATTTCCAAGAATGAGATAAATAAAACTCTGTTGAAATTTACCTACGCAAATTGAGACTTTTGGGGGAAAGAAATAAACTAGTATTTTTCTTCGTAGATTTGTTTACTGTGTAAACCCTGCATCTTAAAACATGACTACTGATTAAATATATGGTTGTTTATTAACGTTCTCAAAGCACTATGCAAATTCACATCACCTTGGGTATATTTTGCCTCTGAAGCTATGAAGTGAATATGGAAGCATTTTGTAGTTAACAAGGCTAACGTATGTTAACTCAAATAGCTTGCTTTGAAGAAAATTTTCCTTTAAATTATTAATATTAATGAGAAAGTGAGAGCTTGGGTGGTCAAGCATGAAATATGAATGAGTAGTTTTCGTTTTTAGGCCTTATTATCCGATGTCACCTGATGTTCAAATTTAAATTTGATAATGCAGAAAATAACAATACAATTTGCAGTGTCATGAAACAATGCAGCTTGTGCCCCAGATTTTTCGACAGCAGTACTGAAACTATGATTTTTAAGTGACATTTTCAAAAGACAAGGTCAGTGAAAAACGCTATACATTTTTTATTGGGTAGAGTCAGAAAAAGAGCTTGCCTGTCCTTTAACTATTTTTTTATTTTTTTTTCGACAGGGACTTGCTTTGTCACCCAGGCTGGAGTGCAGTGGCACAAACACGGCTCACTGCAGCCTCGACGTTCTGGGCTCAAGCGATCCTCTTGAGTACAGGCACGCAAGTCACCATCCCTGGCTAATTTTTGTAGAGACATGTTTCGCCATGCTTCCCAGGCTGGTCTGGAACTCCTCAGCTCAAGCTATCCTCCTGCCGCGGCATCCTGAAGTGTTGGGATGATAGGCATGAGCCACTGCAACCGGCCACTAATCATATATATATATGATTCTTCTTGAGACAGAGTCTCGCTCTGTTGCCCAGGTTGGAGTGCAATGGCACGATCTCGGCTCACTGCAACCTCTGCCTCCCGGGTTCAACTGATTCTCCTGCCTCAGCCTCCCGAGTAGCTGGGACTACAGGCGCCCGCCACCATGGCCAGCTAATTTTTGTATTTTTTTTAAGTAGAGACGAGGTTTCACCATGTTAACCAGGCTGGTCTTGAACTTGTGACTTCCGGTGATCCACCTGCCTCAGCCTCCTAAAGTATTAGGATTACAGGCGTGAGCCACTGCACCCGGCCCACTAATCATATTTTTAAAATAAAAACTTAAGTGAGAGGTTGTTAGAGCAAAGCAGAAACAAACCTAGTCCTCCTTAAATGGATGCAGAGCAACCAGTGAAGTCCTAACAAGCCAAGTAACACAGGAAACTTTTTACTACTTTTACTTTCTTATTAAGATGATTTTTTTTAAAGCAGAAAAAGACTTTAAAACCTTTTTTCGCTTTCCAGATCTAATAAGCCCCCCAATGGTAACCATTTCCTATTCCCAGGCAGCTAGTGAGAAACGCAAGGTACAACTACAATCACGGACTCAGGAAAATCAAGGTGGACACCAGGCGTGGGCTTCTCCCATTCTACCAACAGAAAGAGAGAAATTCAAAGAAAGAGCAATGAAAAATGCACAAGTTTTAGCCACATATTAACTGTAACTACCTCCTTAAATGCGACTGATCTAATTAGAAGCTTTTCAGCTTGTTAGTGGCCCATTTTTTCCTTTTTTTGGACAAAGAAGGGAGGAGAGGGGAGGGGAGGGAAATGGAGGCAGTGGGGTGGTGGGGGGGAGGGGCGGGAGAGAGAGACAGAGAGAGAGAGAGAGAGAGAGAGAGAGAGAGAGAGATGCCTCAGGGTGTCACAAATTTGTTTTTAAAAAATGAATTAATGGCCGGACGCGGTGGCTCACGCCCGTAATCCCAGCACATTGGGAGGCCGAGGCCGGTGGATCACCTGAGATCGGGAGTTCAAGACCAGCCTGGCCAACATGGCGAAAACCCCGTCTCTACTAAAAATACAAAAATTAGCTGGGCATGGTGGCGGGCGCCTGTAATCCAAGCTACTCAGGAGGCTGAGGCAGGAGAATCGCTTGAACCTGGGAGGCGGAGGTTGCAGTGAGCCAAGATCCTGCCACTGCACTACAGCCTGGGTGACAAAGCAAGACTCTGTCTCAAAAAAAAAAAAAAAAACAAAAAAAAACAATTAATGCCCTCGGGTAAACTATGACGTTTGTGCTAACTTTTCAGATGTCCCAAGATTTGGGTTGTTTTACAAGGATAACGAAGTTCATGATGAGGTTAAGCAATCACTGAAGCTAGTGCTAGAAATTTTTTTTAATTTAATTTTTTAGAAAGAGGGGTCTTGCAGAATTTTTTATTTAATTTTTTAGAAAGAGGAGTCTCGCTATGTTGCTCAGGTTGGTCTCCAACTACTGGGCTCAAGTGATCCTCACGAGTAGCTAGGGCTACAGGCACAGGACACTATGCCAGGCTTAGTGCTACAATATTCTGTCTATTTTACTTTAAAATATTCTAAGTATGCTCACTTTGGAAGGCATCAACATCCAGAAATGCATTCCTACATCAAGACTCTCAAGAAACGGGAATTACTGTAAGGGCATACCCTTGAGCAACCATCACACTGCACTGAACTCTTGAGAATATTCTGGAATATCCTGGAAGCATCTCTGCAGGGCAGAGAAGTGAACTGCCACAGAAGGAGCAGCTTTGGGGAGAAGAAATACAGTTTGCCTCTTACAGTATTTTTCTACACCGAGAGCTACATTCCTCCCGAGTTTTAAATTTGTGGACCGTTGAATATCACTCCGCCTTTCATAAAGTTACAAATACCTTCCGTCGGTGGCGGGAACAGAGTTTGGAAAATTACATGCCTAAGACTTCAGATAAGCTAAATGACATACATGCAATAGCATCCCATGAAGAATTTATTCAACCCAATCCATTGCATCTAATTACCCAAAGCACAGAAACTCTCCAAACTGTGCACCCCCCAAAAGGAGGGAAAATGCAAGGTTCCTGCTGCAGTTCCCGGGACACACTGCGAGCCGCTTTGTTACAAGTGTATCCAATGTCCCCAGAACGAGGGACTTGTGGGGCGCGGCTCATCCCAGCGCCACTTGCTCTGCAGCTCCCAGAGGTGGTGGTTGTGTTACGAAGGCTGACCCTGCCAATGGCCGACAAAATGGTGCGCACCCCCAAGTGCTCGAGATGCAGGAACCATGGCTTCCTGGTGCCCGTCAAGGGACACGCGGGCAAATGCCGCTGGAAGCAGTGCCTCTGCGAGAAGTGCTACCTGATCTCCGAGCGCCAGAAGATCATGGCCGCGCAGAAGGTGCTCAAGACGCAGGCCGCCGAGGAGGAGCAGGAGGCGGCCCTGTGTGCGCAGGGGCCCAAGCAGGCCTCCGGGGCTGCGGCCGCCGCCCCCGCCCCCGTCCCCGTCCCGGCCGCGAGCCTCCGCCCGCTGTCCCCGGGGACTCCCTCCGGAGACGCCGACCCGGGACCCGAGGGCCGCGCGGCCGCTTGCTTCTTCGAGCAGCCCCCGCGGGGCCGGAACCCCGGCCCGAGAGCCCTCCAGCCGGTTCTGGGCGGCCGCAGCCACGTGGAGCCGAGCGAGCGAGCCGCCGTGGCGATGCCCAGCCTTGCGGGACCCCCTTTTGGGGCGGAGGCCGCAGGCAGTGGCTACCCTGGCCCCCTAGACCTGCGCAGGCCGATGCGGACCGTGCCCGGCCCACTGTTCACCGACTTTGGTAAGTCGTGGCCTTGGTCCCGCGGTCGACTCCCGGAGCTGGCAGCCCAGGCCAGCCCGGATGGGGAGCTGGCATAGGGGTTCGGGGTGGAGAGAAGTTTTTCCACGGGTAACGGACCTTCCGCTTTGAGAAACCCTTCTTCGAACAGGGATTTGGATTGGGTAACTTTTCGCAAAAAGGAAACGAGAAACAGAAAGGAATGGGCGGTTCAGAGGGCTTTTAACATTTAGCTGTAGTTTGTGCCATTCCGGCATGCAAGAACAAAATGGCGTCCAGTCGACTTAGCAGTGCTTCCTCCTCCGGGGGAGGCTTCGAGGAGCCGAGTCCTACTGCTCTTGCGCACCTCTTCCCGCCATTTCCTTGGGCTGGAGGCTCCTCCTCCAGAATAACAGAATTTTCCTGCCGGCACGTTAGCGCAAGGACGCCTGCGCACTCTTCCCTCCCGGTTCGCGGTCGGGAGGCTCCTCCCCTCAGCTCCGCCCTGGCCCAGTGCGCCTGCGCACCTCTTCCCTCCGTTTCCCCACGTGCAGGTGAGGGGAGCCTGCTTCTTTACTCCACACACGAGAACAGTTGGTCAGTAAAGATGTTGCCTTTCTTTTCTCCCTTCACCTTGTACATAAATTACATTGTTCCCTGTGCCTTGGAGCTTTTGGTATTGAAGTAGTTTCAAGTCACATGTACATTTGAAGCTTTAGAAGCCCCGGGGTTTGGTGCGGACGCGTTTTCCTGGTGTCTCCCCCGTGGTGGTGTGGTGGGACGGGCTCAGGCCGAGGCGGGGGCCCGGGTCACGCTGGACAAGCTCCTGCCCTCTGTGTGCCAGGGCACTGGTCCGGAGGCTCCCGCAGGCTCGTCCCGCCCCCCTGACTTTCCAGGAAAATCTAGGTCCCCAGGGAACGTCCCATCTGACAGGGTCACAGGCCTGAAACTGCAGATCTAGGAGAAGCCACCTTTCTTTTTTCCATCTCAACAGACAAGCAGGGCTGAGCCGAACCATGAGCCAGGCATTCGTGATGGAGGACGCGGGTCACATTTCTTGCCCTCAAGGACCTTGTCCTTGTGGGAGGGACAGGGTTGATCAAAGAGTCACACAAATCAGTGTCCAGGGCTTGAGCCATGGCCGGGTTCACTGTGACCCGGAGGAGGAGGAGGAGCTCGGCACTGAGGCCTCAGAGAGGCAGAGTGCGGGCTGACGGTGTGTGGGGCAGCGGGGAGGTCTGGAGGCGGCCCCGGCCCACAGCGGGCTTGATGGCCGTGCTGAGGACTTTCCAAGAGCAGTGGGGCTGGCTGGAGGATGGAGATGCAGTGAGGGCCCAGCGGAAGGAAGTGCGGGGTGGGCTTTCTGTGCTTGGACGGCAGCGCTGATGACCCCGCCGCCCTGGGCCGCCCTGCGGATGCTTTTCCCAGCGGTGTCTAACACTTCCCTCCTTGCTTGCGTTCTTTAGTGCGCCCTCTGAACATCAACCCGGACCGTGCACTGGGCCCTGAGTACCCTGGTGGCTCCAGCATGCACCCCTACTGCCCGTTCCCGCTGGGCTACCTGGACGCCCCTCCTGGCGTCCCCCTGCAGCAGGGCTTCCGGCATGTGTCCCGCAGCCAGTACCAAGGCGGAGGCTTGGTGAGTCCCACCCCTCACTTCTTGCCAGCTTCCTCCACCCAGTCTGCCCCTGCTGCCTTGATGGATCCTCAGTCCCAGGAAGCCAGCTGTCATAAACTGTGCCCACGCCATGCCAGCCCCCGAGTGCTGGTGGAGGACTAGGCACTGCCCAGGCACAGTGTGTGTGTCTCTGGGAGCACACGTGTGGACCAGTCTGCACCACTCGGCTTGGGCTATGGCCTGTGCTTTTCAGGGCAGTGGGCTGAAAGGCTCTGAGCGTTCAGGATGACCCCTTCCTTGACTGATGCTGATGCTAGAAGGGCCCTTCATTTTGCTGGACTCCAGAAAGGGCATATCACCTTCCTGGGACCACAAAATTTAGGGCAGAGCCAGGACCAGAGGTAGGCTCCCTGCCCACAGGTATAGCACACTTGAGACTGCAGAGGGCTTTCAGGAGGAGGTGGCATTTGAGCGGAGTCATGAAAAATACGGAAACCTTCCCCCAAACACTTGACACCTTAGGAAATACCTGTTGAAAGAATGAAATTTAATCCTTTTATAAGATTAATAAAGGTCAGTCGTTAGCTGGTATTCTCTGTAAGCTGGGAATTTTGAGAGCGAGTGTGTAAAGTCAGGTCATCCCTGTGGTGTGTACTACGAGGCAGGTGTGATTGAGTTTTATGGCCTTGATTACCAGCTCCTTCCAGACTAGGATGGCTAAAAGCCCCCTCTCTCCTTAATGAAAGTCATTAGCTGCACAGTGTGGAGCCAGTCCAATGGGGCTCGAGCTTCACCCGGGCAGGTTGGGCACACAGGTCACTGGGTCCTCACTCCTGCTTCAGCCTGGCGGCAGCAGCTTCTCTTCCACTTATCTTAGATGTTGTGAGATTGTGCTTAAAAATCATTTTCCACTGATTCAAGGGAAGAAAGTTTGAAAGCCACTGGCCTTGATAATTCCAGGGTGTCTATTGAACCTTCAAGGCAGGTATTATACCCCATTGTAGCATCGAGAAAAAAAGGCTCAGAGAAGTTAAGTTTTTGGCCAGGGTCACAAAACTGGTGAGAGAGAGACTGGGATTCCAGTTACACAGCTGGTTGGTGACAGAGCCGGGTCGTGCACCTCAGTCGCCCTGACTCTGGAGCCCAGGTGCTTTCCACTGCCCTTCCCTCCCTCCCACAGAGGTAGAACACACATGGCCCTTGACTCACACCAGCACTGCTGCCTGCCTGACATCTGTGGGCACTGCCCAGGGAGAGCCAGGCATCTCCAGCCTCCACACAAAGAGAGGGGCTCTGGCCAAGTAAAGCACGTTCCGTCTGCTCACACAGAAGTCTGGAGCCTGGCGTCCAGGGCAGCGCTCTGATTGACAGGCCTGCCAGACGGCCTTTGTTAAGAGTGTGATCTCAGTCGGTTTATCTGGGCCTGAGCTGCCACCACAGGCCCCAGGCAGGAGCTGTGATCCAGGGAGATGCTTGGCTGAGAAGCTTGGAATTAAAGCACTAATAATCCCTCTTCCACCCTCTCAAGTCTGGAGAGAGAATCAGGCATTGATTTGTGAGCTGTTTCAAACCCAAGAGCCCCTGAATCACTTTCATCCTTGTCCTGCTGCCCCCTGCCAAGGCTTGGAGGTGCTCTCCAGAACAGTTTCCTCCTTCCTGTTCCTGTCCCTGCCCACCTGCTGCTGCTTGGCTTCCTCTGCCCTCCTGTTCACAGGACAGCACTGGCCCTGGAGGTGGGCAGACCTAGGGTCCAATTCTGCCTCCCCCGTCGTGTCCCAGCCACGTGACCCGTGGCAGTTATCTGACCTCTGAGGACCTCACTCGGGTCTTGGTCTGTAAAATGGGAGTGAGAGGACCTATCTATTAGGGCTCCTGAGAATAGATAAGGCGATGCATGTAAAATACCTAGCACAGGGTCTGGCACATAGTAGGTACTTAAAAGTGAGATTTCTTCCCTTCCTGCTGGTTGAACGAAGTTAGGAAGTGCTGGGTTAATCTAAGGAGATTTTTGCAGACTCTTCCAAGCCTTTAATATGCTCATGTGTGACCCACTAATGTGGGGAGCAGTATATGGGGTTTCTCAAACTCACTTAACAAAGAACACTTTTAAGAGTACTAAAAAATACTTTGTAGGACACCAGGACTCCATGAAACTCAGCTCAGGATGTGTTGCTCTGAAGCATCTGGATAGAGAAGTGAATGACAGGAACTACATCCAAAACTCAGTATTATTTCTTACGACATTTGTGTGTTTCTTGGTTAAGCTCTGAGTTGTGCAGTCATCCCCTCTCCAGATCCTCTGATGGGGCCCTGTGCTGTGGTAAGGGGTTGGATTCCATCCCTTGAAGAAGGGACAGAAGCAGCAAAATGTTCATCAGTGAGGCCACTTGCCTGAAGTCACCCAGTGTATCTTGCCTCAGAAACAGCTGCGCTACACCCACATTGCCAACCTCTTCTCCCAAAGGCCCCCCTGGCACTTGAGTTTAAGTCACCACATGTGCCAGACAGGGGGTCCTGTGGGGTTGGGATGCGTTCAGACCCTTCCCCAGTGCAGAGCAGCGCTGGACAGAAGTCAGCTGAGTGGGCTATGGAGTCAGCCAACTTGGGATCCAGTTCTGCCCCTTAACCACAAAGCAGCTCTGCGGCCCTGGGCCTGTAGCTTCATCTCACTGAACCTGTTTTTCATAATTACAGCAAGAATAGTAATAGAACCCACCGCCTAGGATTCTGAGCACCCAAGCACAATCGCCCTGGCATATACAGAAGGGCTCTGTCACTGTGACCGTTCAGCTGTTCCCATGCTTATCTGAGGTTGCCTGTGTTCCTTCTTGCCTTCAATAATTTGGCAGGTGTTTGCTGAATGCCCCCTTCCAAATGCCCTGTGCCTGTGTGTTTGGGGCCGTGCATCTACCCCATCAGGAGCCCCCCACTTCAGGGGTGAGAGCTATGTTTGGTCAGCCCATCTGGCTAACTCTCTCTCCTCTCCGCCTCTCTGCTGTGTGTGCCGTGCAGGTGTCAGAACCAGGAGGAGACTTCCAGCCAAGCTACTACCTGCCGCCGCCGCCGCCGCCACTGCCGCCCCTTCCACCGCTTCCACCGCAGCCCCAGTTCCTCCCGCCAGGCTACCTCTCTGCGCTCCACTTCCTCCCCCCGCCACCGCCACCACCACCTCCATCATCTTTCTCACTGACCGTCCTGTTTGATACTGACAAGGAGAACACTGGTGAGTGAGCTCCAGTCTTCCAGCTTCAGCGAGAGCCAGGGAGACTTTCTGGAGGAAGAGGTACCTAATCTGAAGAAAGGTTAGGTGTGGAGAGAAGGGACATGGAATTTAAAGGGTGTTGAGCCCTAGAATGAGCTCCTTCTTACACCCTTCCTCCAGTCCCCATAGGCACACATCTAAGGGAGGTGGGAATGGGATTCCAGGTGAGGAAACCAGGGCCTCCAGCAGTTCTCTTGGGTATAAATGGCAGAGCTGGGATTTGAACAGAGTTTTTCAGTCTAGCTCCCAGTCTAGTGCCTGTTCACTCACCTTATTGGCTCGTGGGCGGTGCTGTGGAAGACAGCAGGCATATGGTGTGTTTGGAAGACCAGAGGTGCCAGGCCTCTCTAGCTGGGGTAGGGGAGCAGATGGAGAGACTGGAGCAGCAGCAGGAACCCGTGTGGTGGGGCTGTGCCTCTGCCCCAGGCCACTCTGAGGGAACCAGACCAGGAGCTAGAGAATCTGTCCTTCACAAGCTCTGCCACTGGGGCACTGGATGATCCTGGGCACTGAGGCTTTTCAACTATAAAAGGGGCCCCCTTACTAGGTTACTGTGAGGGTCGAAGAAACTTTTGGATGTGAAAATGTTTTGGGTTTTCTTTTGAGGGCCCTTGCAGCTTTAAAGCTTCTAGGACATTTTTCCTTTCAGTCTTCCCCTGGGGCTCCTATGATTTGGAAAGAACTGACAAACTCAACTAGGCCTTTAAAATGACTGTCAGACCATCTTATGAGCTAGAGGAGTCTGGTGGTATCACCATTTTACTGAAGAGGAAACTGAGGCCTGTTGCACACTTCCTGTGTGTGCAGTGCCTAGATCCAGTAGCTGGAGAGGTGGTTTCATGTGGCTGAAAACCACTGGCCCCAGTGCTGGGTGGCCTGGGTGTGAGTCCTGGCTCCAGCACTTGCCCAGCTGTGTAACTTGAGCAAGCTCATTTACTCTTTGGTGCTCCAGTTTCATCATGTGTAAAAGGAGACTAATAATGGTCCCTACCTCATGAGGATTCTGAGGATTAAACAGAACCTGAAGTGATGAAGGCATTGGTGAAGGTGGCCTATCACTGTCTGTTTCACTTAGTGCCCATGCTGCCATTGCAAGGTGGATACGTCTCATTTTACAGAAGGGGAAGCTGAGGTTCAGAGCTGTGGAGTATCTTGCTAATTCCTCCCAGCTTGTGACGAGCAGAGCAAGAGCTGGAACTTGAATCTGAATCACATGGCCAAGGCTAGGATTCCAGGCTCCTGGCGCCTAACAAGTTAAAGAAAATACATTCTCCCCTAGGGCTGGGAATGATGAGAAAGGCTTATGGAAAATCTGTATCTGGGCTGGGCACAGTGACTCACACCTGTGATCCCAGCACTTTGGGGAGGGTGAGGTGGGTGGATCACCTGAGGTCAGGAGTTCAAGACCAGCCTGGCCAACATGGGGCAACCCTGTCTCTACTAAAAATACAAAAATTAACTGGGCATGTTGGCGGGTGCCTGTAATCCCAGCTACTCAGGAGGCCGAGGCAGGAGAATTGCTTGAACCTGGGAGGTGGAGGTTGCGGTGAGCTGAGATTACACCACTGCACTCCAGCCTGGGTGACAGAGCGAGACTCTGTCTCAAAAAAATTAAAATAAAATAAGAAAAAAGAAAATCTTCATCTGCAAATAGGTAGTTGTAATTTTCGCTCTTTCTAAATCCAGCTACCTTCTTTGTCCTTCACAGATGACCAGGATGCAGAGGTACTGTCGGGTGAGCCCAGCCAGCCATCGTCTCAGGAGCAGTCCGACTAGGCCCCAGGCCCGCCCTCCTGGCCAGCAGAGTGGGGCACTGGGGGGCAACAGCAACAGTTTTCTTGTCTTCATTCAGTGATATGTAGGGAGGAAGGAGGTTGATAGCATAGATGGCAACTGATTCCCAGTTTAAGATAGGAGGAAGGAGAGCAATTTCTAAGTTTCAATCCTGCGCTGTACAGTTGAAGAAGAGTGTGGAGGAAGCTATTACCAGGGGAGGGCCAGGGCTCTGAGGAGTGGGCGCTGGGAGAAGCTCCCATTTAGGAATGAATTTAACTGTCCTTGGGTTACACTACCATTTATTGGAACAAGCCCCAGAGGCAGTATTTGATTTCCTCAGGCCCCACTCTAGGACAGGAGGCACCATCTATTTCAGCCTTCTGCTGCCTTTGCCTGGTCCTCCAGGTTGCTGGGGGCACCACAGACATCAAGATTCCAGTTCATCCAGGTGGCTGGAGCCAGCAGCCAGGACCAGGGTCGTTGACAGCAGGTTCTGCAGCATCCTGCCTTGCTGCTCTGTCCCCCACATCTTCCTGGCCACAGCCCCTTGCCCCTCCTCTAAGGGGTTTTACTAGCAAGCATCCTGGCTGCTGGGGCTACTTCATTCCCCCTCCATAAAGTTTCAGCCATTATGGGCACTGGTTTTAAAAAATTTATTAGTTTGACTATTTGATGTTTTTATAGTGATTGCCAACTTTAAAAAGTAGGCTGTTCATAAGCACTGATGCAGTCCCTAGGGAATAGAATGGTGCTTCTGATCACCTGTGACATGAACAGTTTCTTCTGTGAGGACAGTTGGCTATTGAAATAAAATGAGCAATGGAAATCCTTGTGGAAGGCTTATTCTCCCTTTGATCCTGGTGGAAGGTAGGGTTGGCAGGAGCCTGAGTTGGGGAGATTGGGGGCCTTGGTTTGTGGCCTGTGGCTGGCCTTGTCTGCACTTGCTTAGTTCCTATTTTTAGTTCCTGCCCTCCCTGTTCTACCTCCCCTTTCTTTATCAAGTGAGGGGATTGGGCCAGGCTAGTAGACTTCTTTATTATTACTGTTGTTATTTTAAGCAATGGAGACCTTTTAAGGAAATCTGATGTAGACACACAAAATGTAAAGATGTCTTAGTTTCCTTCCTCCAGCTCCTTCCATAGTCCCTGCATAGGAACATGCATTTAAAAAAACAGAACTTGAACCAATTCTGTTTTAGGGTCCTCGGCTTCTTCCATTGGTTGCATTTATACCTTCATTTAGAAAACATCCTGTGTTTCTACTAGATTCAGAACTTGACAGTTCCCAGCTCTGCCCATGAGGAACATGACATCTAGTGGGAGAGACAGAGAGTCTTAGGGGATTCATACTAGAACAGAGAGGTAGGGAGGCTGTGGGAGTGGTCAGAGAAAGCCTTCTGCAGGAGTCAGGGCCTCAACCACAACATAAGGGGCAATAATGAGTTAGGCAGAGAAGAAAGAGATGAGTACTCCCAGTAAGGATGCAGAGGAGGATGGGGACCTGGTGTGAAGGATTCCATGGTCAGGGCAGTGTCCTGTTCTCTGTCCAGGGAAGGGCTGGCACCCAAGAGAACAGGTCAACTTTACTTCCTTTTTTGCCTGTGGGCAGAGGTGTCCAGGCATCCTCCTAAGTCCTGGGATAGGTAGTGGGGGGATCATTGAGAAGTGATACCCTAACTATTCTCTTACGTCAGTGTGGTGGCTGGGGCCTAGGGCCTGGGCTTTGTTGGAAGGCACTGGAGGCAGGCACTGTCACAAGAACTTTTCAGTTACTGCTATACAGACATAAGAGTGTTTTCAGCAGGGCAGACCACGCATGCTGAGGCCTGAGGTCTGCAGGTCAGCACTGGTGTCAGCCTGGACAGGATGATGCGGTGATTTGGGACTACCCTGGCTTGGGGGCTGAAGCTATCACTTACCCCAGTGCTGGTCTTCCCCTTGGGGACCACAGTGCTGCAGGACCCTGAGAGGGTGGGAGAAGACATGCCTTTTGGTTGCACTTGACATCAATCACCATGCCCTAACTGAACCCCTGACCTGCCAGTACAGCAGGGTGGGGCTGGATTGGTAACCTTACTTTTTCTTTTTCTTTTTTTCTTTTTTTTTTTTGAGACGGAGTCTCGCCCTGTCGCCCAGGCTGGAGTGCAGTGGTGCGATCTCGGCTCACTGCAAGCTCCGCCTCCCGGATTCACGCCATTCTCCTGCTTCAGCCTCCTGAGTAGCTGGGACTATAGGCGCCCACCACCACGTCCGGCTAATTTTTATTTTATTTATTTATTTTTTTGTATTTTTAGTAGAGACAGGGTTTCACCATGTTAGCCAGGATGGTCTCGATCTCTTGACCTTGTGATCTGCCCGCCTCGGCCTCCGAAAGTGTTGGGATTACAGGCGTGAGCCACCGCACCTGGCTGGTAACCTTACTTTTTCATAACACTTGAAGTTTTATCTTAGACTCCACATTTTGAAAGATTTTCCAACCAAGTTGCACTACTCAAATAAAGCTGCTTTCCTGTTTCTGGTCAGCACACACGCAGAAGTATGAAACAGTCTCTGTGGCCACATGGACACCACAACTATTCCAGACCAATGCAAGGAAATGGGTTGTTTAGTTAGCCTGTGGGGAGATAGGAGGCTTTGGTCTTTGGAGAAGAGTAATGTCCTGTTGGAGGGGTTGATGCTCACACGACTCCAGGATGGGAGGATTTCTCATTTCCCCTGTAGGCCTGTGAGCTGATGAATCTCCAGAAATTGGTCGGCATCTTTCCTGGAGCCTTGGAGGCACCTGCTGGGGTGAAAAGACCAACTGGGGGTCAGGGGCTTGTCCCAGTGCTGCCCCCTGGCTTACTGGTTTTCAGGAAGGCCTGCCTTCCTACCTTTCCCCGGTATGAACCCCAAGTTGTGAGCACCCAGCCTGCCCTTTCCTGCCCCTGTGGGCTCACTGCGGTTACTTCCCCTGGTAGGTGGTAGACCCCTGCTCCCCGCAGCTTTGCCAGGCAGCCCAAGCCATGATCCCTGAATGCCCAGCTCCTCCAGGCAGGCCTCCAGCAGCAACAGCATGAGCACTGAAAAACCAGTTCTGCTCATGTTGCTGCTCTGCATACAAGCCCTCCGTGGCTCCTTCCTGCTCCCTCTGGCCGGACACGGTGGCTCACGCCTGTAATCCCAGCACTTTGGGAGGCCGAGGTGGGCGGATCACTTGAGGTCAGGAGATCGAGACCAGCCTAGCCAACATGACAAGACCCCATCTCTACTAAAAATACAAAAATTAGCCGGACATGGTGGCTCACACCTGTAATCCCAGCTACTCGGGAGGCTGAGGCAGGAGAATCGCTTGAACCTGGGAGGTGGAGATTGCGGTGAGCTGTGATCACACCACTGCACTCCAGCCTGGGTGACAGAGCAAGACCTCATCTCAAAAATAATAATAATAATAAGGACCTGCCTGCTGGCCTCTCCAGCCTCTCCCTCACTGGCTGGCCCAGCCCAGTTCCTGGAGGGCTTGGGGTCGTCCAGGTCCAGGCAGAAAAAGGATGGAAAGCCGAGAGACTGGCCGCCAGGGGCAGCACTCTTCATCCCAGATGGCCGGGATAATGTTCTGGAAGGCAACCAGCCGTCATTCCCTGACCCCGGTGCCCTGGCAGGGCGCCGCCGGGAGAGGGCGCGACGGCAGCAGTTGCGGGCGGGGCCGGGGCCTGTTGCCTAGGGACCGGCCTCCCACTAGGAGCATGTGGGCCGGTCGCTGCGCCTCTGCTCGCCGGGCTGGAGGAATAGGTTTCTGCAGCGGCGGGCTTGGAGCGCACCCCGGAGACTAGGAATTTCCCTCTAGTTTAGGCTATGCAATCGCCAACTTCAGCGAGTTGTCTTTGCGCAGCCCTGCCTGTGACATCCATGCCCTCCTAACTTTTCTTTAGACACCACCCCCATCCTCGTGTTCCATAGCACATTCGCCCGCTTTCTTTCCTTTCCGCACTTTTGCGCGTGGACAGTCCTCTGCCTAGACTCCTTCCAGCTTCACCTAGTCATCTATTGTCCTTTCAGACTTAGTTCCGGCGCCGGCTTCTTCAGGACACCGGGCCTCAGCCTCAGCGTGGGTTAGGAGCTCGTGGGGCCTGCCCTGCCCGCTGCTGCCTTCCGTCAAGGCCGCTGACCCCACTGAGTAGATGCCCCTCCCACAGGCCCGGGAACGTCCTGCAGGCAGTGGCAAGGGCTCTTAAGCCTCTGTCCCCAACTTCCAATGTGGGGCTTGGCCCTGGTTAGCCCAGTGCATGTTGCCAATGGATGCGTGAATCCAGGGCATGTGTGGTTTTCCGGGTGGAGGGTTCAGTTGGCCCAGCCTTTGGCCACCTACTGCGGTATCTTTTGCCTTACATTTTTGCTCTGTTTGCTGGGACATTACAGAGGGGTCAGAAAGTCAGCTTTCGTTGAAACTATACTGTGTGCCAAGCCCTGCATTCCTTCCCTGGTTTAATTCTCACCACGACCCATGGAAGGGTTGCATTATCATCCCCGTTCTAGAAAGTGGGGCACACACAGGGATGGAGATTTGCCCGAAGTCACACCGTTTGTAAGTGGCAGAGCCCCAGGTATAATAGAAGTGTGGACAAGGGTGTGCAGAGGGCAACATGGGTCCCTGGGCACCAGTTACGGAGTTTTTAATATCCATTTTGCTTTGAGTTGCCATCCTGGGATTTATTGAACACAGAACCCATGACGCGCCCTAGTTTCTGGGCAAATTCAGGCGCAGCATGGGGAGTGTGGCCTAAGGGCATTTACCTCCTCAACCACTGCCCACTCCATTCACCATAGCATGCAAGGCCCCGAGGGAATCCTAAAGCTGGCATCATGGTGAGTCAGCAGGAAGAGCCCTCAGGGTCTCAGGTATAACGCCCCAGTCCACCAGAGATTTTCAGCATCTCTGCGGCTTGAGCTCCTGCTGTGGCCTAGGCTTCACCATGAGCCCCACTACGTGAGATGAGATTGGCAGAATGCTTGCTATTGTGGCCAGGATGGAGCAAGGTGAGGAGGGGTATTTTCAGAGACAGGTTCTCACTCTGTTACCCGGGCTGGAGTACAGTGGTGTGACCATGGCTCACTGCAGCCTCAACCTCCCAGGCTTAAGTGTCCCTCCTGCTTCAGCCTCCGGAGTAGCTGGGACTACAGGCATGCCACCATGCCTGGCTAATTTTTAAATTTTTTGTAGAGATGGAGTCTCACTATGTTGCCCAAGCTGGTCTCGAACTCCTGGGCTCAAGCAGTCCTCCCGCCTTGGCCTTCCAAAGTGTTAGGATTACAAGCGTGAGCCACCACACCCAGCCCACTTTTCTGAGGAGAGTGGGGTAGAGGTACTCTGCTCCCTCTTGGAGACAAAATGTATCCTCAAGCCATGGGGGGAGGGGGGGATGAGGTCCTCTCCTAGCAGTCCTGGAGATTCTCACAGCTCCTTCCACTGCTGGGTGCTATGGTCTTGGTGGGCCTGGGCCTAGGCTCCTCTTCCTGAGGTGCTGCGTGAGCCAAGGCCTCCTCTCCTTGGCTAAGGCTGGGGTCTTTGGACCTCGCTCTTCTTCCTTTTCTCTTCCTAGCTGTGTATTGTTGGGCTCATCATGTAATTTTTCCAAGCCTTACTTTGTCCTCTGGTAACATTGGTTCAGTGGTGCTCTGAGGATGCAGGAGTGCTTGTGTGAAACACCTTCTTTGATGGCACCTGTGTCATTGGATGCTTGAAGGCAGTGACCTTTTTGAGACCACGTCAGAGGCTAGAAATGACCAAGGCTCTTTACTTCCTGGTGCTCCCCACATTCCAGGCACTGTGCTGAATGCTTCCTACGCATTCTGTCTCTGAGTCCTCAGAGTGACCCCTCAGGCAGGCACCAAGTACCTCATCTTACAGATGGCAAAACTGAGGCCTACAGAGATTAGATTTTCCCCCTCAGTTGCCCTGTCCATAAGTGGCAAATTCAAGTTCCACCTGAGTGCAGAGCTAAGTTCCTAGCTGCACTGTGCTCTCCTGCTTCTCTGAGAGGGAGTCTTGGGGAAGTGGTCCCCCCAGGACTTGCTGCCCAGCTGGGGTTCAGTGAGTGTGGACCAGTCAAAAGCAAAGAACAACTAGCTTAGGTCCTACACGAGGAATGAAATCATTTCTCAGAAATTTCCAAATCCTTTAATTTCATTTTGAAAATGATGAACAAACAAACATGAAGTTGAGTTTTTAAAAAAAACATGAGTATTAATAGCATATTAAAATTTAAGCCTTGTAGGGCTGGGTGCAGTGGCTCACACCTGTCATCCTAGCACTTTGGGAGGCCGAGGCCGGCAGATCACAAGGTCAGGAGTTTGAGACCGGCCTGGCCAATATGGTGAAACTCCGTCTCTACTAAAAATATAAAAAATTAGCCAGGTGTGATGACCTGTGCCTGTAATCCTAGCTACTCGGGAGGCTGAGGCAGGAGAATCGCTTGAACTCGGGATGTGGAGGTTGCAGTGAGCCGAGATCACGCCACTGCACTCCAGCCTGGGTGACAGAGTGAGACTCCATGTCAAAAAAAAAAAAAAAAAATTAAGCCTTATCCGTTTCACAAAGTAGATGGGAAATTTTTCAGTATTAGTGCTTTTAATTCAAATGTTACCTGGGAAATAGTTTTGATTTTTCCTAGGATAGTTTCTTTTCATGGTTATTTCTTCATCTTTCTCCAGGCTTTTTGTTTGTTTTTGTTTAAACATAATTAATTATAAATATAAATAATGCACAAACATGGTAAACAATTTTAAAGTATGAGCAAGGAACAGATATGTTTTCCCACCTCTATTTCTCATGCTCACTTATATCCTTCAGAGATATCCCTCTTTTTTGTGTCTCTTTCCAGAGATAATTTATACATATAAAAGCTTTTTTAGATTAAATTTTAATTCTGAGGTTGTTATAGATTCATACTCAGTTGTAAGAAATAATACAGAGAAATCCTGTGTACCATTTACCCAGCTCCCCCCGATGGTGACATTGTGCAAAACTACAGTACAACATCACAACCAGAATATTGACATCGATAAGATCCATCCCATTTATTCTGACTCAGTTTTACAGTTCACATTCAAATTAATTTTTGTATCAGGTGTTGAGGTGTAGATTAAGGTTCCTTTTTTTGCCTGTGGATGTCCAGTCGCTCCAGCACCATAGACTCCTCCACTGAATTTCTTGGTGCCTTTGTTAAAAATCAATTGAGCAGATGTATGTGGGCCTATTTCTGGGTTCTCTATTCTGTTCAATTGATCTGTGTTTTGAACAAACACACATACAGTGGCATATGATCCACACTTTTGCATGTCACTATGTTTGTTAACATCAGATCAGGGTTTCTGAGCCTTTTTTTCATGCCATGAACCCCATCGTCAGTCTGGTGAAGCCAGTGACCCCTTCTTAGAGTAGTGATTTAAGTGGATAAAACAAAACGCATAAGGTTATAGAGGAAACCAATTAGGTTTAATACACTTGTCAAAATAGAGAAATACATTTGCCACTTAGTAATACATGTTATTCCTGGCTAACACATTAAATACCAAGGTCTAGCCGTGGATCTAATCACTAGTAATAGTTTCAAAGTAGTGATGTAATTGATCTTTTGAGATACGTGCCACAACCGTAAAGTGAGACGAGAATATCTGTGATTTCTGTCAGTGACCAAGTCACAGCTAATTCTACTGGGGTTTTGGGGCCTACATTCATAATTAAAGGAGACACTGAATTATAGTTAGAGGTTAGTGAAAAATCAAGCTGTGATTCCCTCATCCTAGTTCACAGAGCCCTTAATTCTCTCTAGGACCCCAGTTATGAACTTCAGCATTAGAGCTTGAAGATCCTCACATCTTCTTTCTTGTTAGCAGCTGTGTAGTATTTCGTTGAATTGATGCACCCTTATTTAATCCTACTAAGAGACGTTTAGGTTGTTTCCAATCTTTTGCTATGACTGCTAACTTAATTTCCTGAAGGTTTCTCCTGCTAAGGTTTTCTTCTCAAGCAGGGCCACTACGCCAATCCCACTGCATTCAGGATAGACCCTTAGCCAGTCTGCGGAGGATGTCTGGGTAAGCAGGCTCCAGCCTCACCTCTTACCCCTTCTGGAACTGTCCAGCCTCCATACAACAGCATCCTTTGCTTCTCCCAAGCCTAGGATCAGGGGTTTCATGACAGTCCTGGTGAGCGAGCAGTTGGGTAGGCGGGCTGGGGAGGGTTCCCCAAGCTGTGCGGCATCCTGTGAGCAGATGTAAAACTCCTCTGTGCCTTTGTGCTACATTTTATTAACAGCAGATCGCAAGATGCTAACATTTTATCATGTCAGCTCTTGCATTTGAGCTAGCACAGGCATTGGCCTGTGAGTAATTAGCTGCTGGGTGGTGTCTTTTCTTCATCTTCTTTCTTTTTTTTTTTTTTAATTGAAATCAGAAAATCTGTTTTCTTTTCTTTGTTTCTTTCTTCTTGGTAGTAGATGCAATCCATGGAACACTCCACGTGGACTTGGCTGTTTCTCCGCATTCATGGACAATTAATTTCCAGCTATAATCCAGTTTCCCACCAAACACTGAGTTGCCTCCCAACGCTGTCGACCACTTGCTGGAACAATTGTCCCCCCTTTGCATGGGAAAGCAAGATATCATGACACTTTGTTCTGATGTGCAAAACATACCTGGTTTTGAGACCCTGGCCATTTCCATTGTCAGTCTTTAATTAAATCAGTGGTTTTCTACATCTGGCTCTTGGATTTTTAATTTTTCAATTTGGACTGATTTTTTTTTTTACTACCGTGGCATATTCACATCAGTCATGGAGTGATGTCAGCCACCATCTGCAACATCAGAAACAGCCCATGTTCTATCCACTAAGGCAATAGCATTTATTGGGTGCCTAGGACATGTTAGGCTTTGTGCTGGGCCCTTAGGATGAGCTAGATATTGTCCTTATGCATTGCAGCATGAGCGTCCGAATACCCAGATATGAGCATTTCCCCACATAAAACTCTTCCCTGGTTCTCCGCTGTTTGGGGGATTGAGAGGCAAAGGTCAGTAATCAAAGTCCTCTCACAACCTCCAGTTCAGCTGACCATTTCGGGGGTTTCTATGCCACATTGTCCCCGTTGCATTAGAATTTCCCAAAATGCCTTCAGCCCTTGCTCACGCAGCACCCTCTGCCTGGGTCACCCCTCCCACGGGGCCTCCTCCCTACTCCATGGAGCCTGTTCTGAGCTTCCCCAGAAGTCCAGCCTTGCTCTCCTTTGTTCTCTGTCCGTTGCTGCCAGGCATGGCTTGCATATGTCTCCAAGACATTATTGCACTTGTTTCTTCTGTGCAATTCTTCTTTCTTCTTACCTCGAGGGTAAGGATTACATCTCACTCACTGATTGAAATCACCAGCCACAACTTCGTGGCCAAATCCAGTGGACAGTTCTCTGTCTTCTGCTTCCTTGACCTCCCGCTGCATTTGCACACACTTCTCCAGACTTCAGGGCAGCACTCTCCTCTCATCTGATTCCTGCCTCCTGGGCTGCCCCTCCTTCACTCATGCTCCTCCTCCTTCTCTGCCTGCCCTCTGGCTATTGGGGCTTCAGCCCCTCCTTTATTCTTGTGGATGCTCTTCTTCTGGGGTGCTCATCCAGGTCCATGCTTTTGCTCCATCTTGTGTGCAGCGAGGGCTCGCCTGGGCTCCAGACTTATGTCTCCTTTGTTGTCTCAGCCTCTCTGACTGTATGTCTAAAAGGTGTCCTGGCAGTGGGGGTTCTGGTAGGAAACGGAGGCCAACTTGGTAGGTTCAAGAGATTTAATTTCTTGATTAATCACAGTCCACCAACTCTTAGAGTTGTGGGCAGGGTTAAGGGAAACAAAGAGACACTGGTGCCCTCAGAGACGCTGCAGCAGGAACTCGTTACCATCCCAGGGCCAAAGGGACAAACTGGTGTCCCCAGATCCCAGAGCGAATGGGAGCCTGTGGAGGAAGGTCTGCCCTGTGCGGTTGTGCTCATGAAGACATGTGACTGCAGCCAGGAAAAGCAGCCCTGCACACAGAGGGACCCGGGAGAAGCATCCCTGCCGTGCTCTCCTCCTGCCCTCTGCTCTCTTGCTAGTGCCATCCACTGTCCAGACCCAAGCCGACAGCAGAGGGTCAAGGGGCCTGGGCGAGGCCATTCACACACCCTGGCTCAGCCTCATGTGGCAAAGAACAGGGCAGAGAAGGGCGAAGAATAGGCTGGGGCGGGGTGGATAGACAGGACTAACACAGTCTGCCCCTTTGCTGCTCAATGTCTATTCTTGCCCTTCTTTCAGAGCAAGAAACTCTAGTTTCCAAAATGGGGGCAGAGACACAGAGCCCGTCAGCCACCGAGTCAGCGTGCAGCAATGGCATTTCAGTCATGCTCCCACCAGAAGCCTAAACCAGAACCCTAACTCAATGGTAGGAGATGGGGAAAGAAATCAACCAATAAACACAGCCTGCAGGCAGTGGCTGTAGTCACCACGTCTGTAGCTGACCAAGAAGCAGAGGACAGTCATCATGGCTTCTTTCTTCCAGCACCCACCCCATGCTCCCCTCACCCTTGGAGCCCCTTGGCTGGTGATAGTTCTCTACCTGGTAGGTGACCCAGTTCTTCAGTCCTGCCAGGCCCGAATCCCCAGTCAGCCTGCTTTGGTTGCCTGCTGCAGTTTCCCCTGGCAGTTAGAGGACATGGGAGCACCTCTCCCTGACCTCCGTGGATGCCCAGGTTCCAGGCAAAGCTCCCTTTTTCTCATCTGGCAGCAGAGCCCAGCTGCTGCATGGTGATCGAGCTTACCCAACCAAGGCACCGTGGTAACTGTTTGCCTGTCAGCTCAATAGCACGAGGAGTCTGAGTAGCCAACAGCAGCCCCACTTTCTAAGGTAACGGCATCACAACTGTGTTTCCTGGCGGAAGACTTTGAGGAGTAGGACCTCCAAACCTGCTTAGTTCAGCTTCCTCAAAACCAGAGTCCAAAATGAGGTTTCATGCACCTGTGACTTATTAAGAAAGCACTCCCAGGGGAGACCAGTCAGGGAGAAGGGGAAGGACAGGGAAGGGGAAGAACCCCAGGAAGGGCCCAAGTTCAGGCAAGCCTCAGCCCGAGCCTGAGCACATGGGAGCGCTGGCATGTATGTGTCCCCTGGGAGTTAGGTGGACATGAGGCGGGGCAGCTGGCTGTCAGCCTCTGACTCCCTCCATGGTTAAGGGCTGCCCCAGCGGTGAAGTAAATTCCCAGCCACCTCCAGCTGCCTGAGCCAGTGTGCCAGGCAGGCTCTGGGAGTCCAAGGGATGTTCTCTGAAAAAGAGCCTCACGTGTGGCTGTTAGAAACAAAAATACACCAAAACCAGGAGGCCCAAAAATGGGAAAAAAGAATCCGAGGGAAATCTGGGCAGAGCTCCAACATTATCTGTTATGTTGCAGAGATGGGAAACAAGAATTCCATAAGTGGGTTATTAAGGTACAAGAATGAGGGGGCTGTGGTGATGGGTGCATAACTCTGTGAATGTACTAAAACCCATCACATTGGCTACTTAAAAAAGGAAATTTATATGACGTGTGAATTATATCTCAATGAAGTTGTTATTAAGAAAAGAAGGACTGGGGACACTCCTGGTGGGAGACAGCACCGTGTACTGGTCCCTGGCTAAGGACGCCACCGGCCTCCAGGACAGGGCCCTGCCTCACAGTGTGCTGCCTCCCCGCTGGCTCCGCAGCAGAAGCTTCAGCAGGCCATTCCACCATCCCTCAGACTAGCTACTAGGTGCAAGCCTGTGGCCATCCTTCTCTCACTATCCATTGAGTTGCTGGGTTGGAGGCACTGCAGTGTGGCAATGGGTAAGGCATTCCATATGGCCACAGATGGCATTACTGGCAGAAGCATCCAGTAGAGAAGGCAAATCTCTGTCCAGATTCCCTGGGGATGAATTTCAGCACCCCTCCTGATGGAGACTGTTCCATGTAATCAACTTGCCATCACCGTGGTTTCCTGAGGGATGGCCAAGTGGGCAACATTGGTCTATGTGATTGGCAGCCTGGGATCTCAGCAGCAGTAGGCAAATTGGCTTTGGTGAAAAAAGTCCCTGTTGTTGCGCCTGTGAAAGGCCCCTCTCCCTATGGTTATGCACTGAATACTTATGTCTCCCTCACCAAATTCATGTGTTGAAGGCCTAACTTACAGTGCCTGTATTTGGAGATGGGGCCAAGATTACTCTAAGAAACTAATTAAGATTAAATGAGGTTATAGGAGCGGGGCCCTGATCCAATAGGATTAGGGTCCTTAAAAGAAAAGGCAGCTGGGTAGGGTGGCTCATGCCTATAATCCCAGCACTTTGGGAAGCTGAGGAGGGCAGATCACTTGAGCCCAAGAGCTAAAGACCATCCTGGGCAACATGGCAAGACCCCATCTCTACAAAAAATAAAAAATAAGAAAATTAGCCAGGCATGGTAGCATGGCTGTAGTCCCAGCTACTCAGTAGACTGAGGTGGGAGGATCTCTTGAGCCTGAGAGGTCAAGGCTGCAGTGAGCCGTGATCACACCATTGCACTCCAGCCTAGGCAACAGAGCAAGACTCTGTCTCAAAGAAGGACACTGTCTCAAAATAAAAAAGACACCAGAGTGCATTCTCTTTCTCTCTCTCTCTCTCTGTCTCCCTCTCTCTCTCTCTCCCTCCCTCCCTTCCCCATCCCACCCCCATGTGCACACACCTTGCTCACACCTTGATCTTGGACTTCCCAGCCCTCAGAACTGTGAGGAAAACATTTCTGTTGTGTAAGCCATGCAGCCTGTAGTATTTTGTTATGGAAGCCCAGGCAGACTAAGACACTGGCTTTGATGGTCACTTAGTTCATGAGCCCTTTGAGCAAGGACAGGACTAGCTGGGCAAAGGGATTAACTGATACCCACAGGATGGGTCCTCTTGTTTACCTAGTTATTGAGAGCCTCCTCTGCAGTGGTTGTCTCCTGGTGGGCATTTATGTGGGACATGAATATCTTCCCATACTGTGCCTTACAATTTTTTTTTAATTTTAAAATTTTTATATATTCTTTATTTTTGTAGAGACAGAGTCTCTACAACATATGCTATGTTGCCCAGGCTGGTCTTGAACTCCTGGCCTCAGGTGATCCTCCCACCTCGGCCTCCCAAAGTGCTGGTATGCCTGTTTTGAGAGGTCTAGCTACATACCTACCTCCTTATAACCAATTTTCCAATCTCATTTTTTCCCATTCCTTGAGCACCCGTAAATCCCTGCCCATGCATTGATGCAAATCCATACCTCAGCCTGTCTTTCCTTCCATGAAGTGAGCAATTGAAGGAACCAGTTGAAGTTCTCTGCCCACAGGAGGATCTCCTTTTGCCACTGTCTTTTGGGATAGTCCCTGAGTGGAGCTGTCATGCAGCCTCCATGCTTCTGGCTAGTGCTGGCATACCATGCACACCCATTTCTAAGCCAAGCTTCCAGAGGTTTCTCTTCTGTTAACTGGTCAAAGGGGATTTCACAAAAGACATGGCAAAGAAGCAGCAGCAGGTTTTGAAGGAACCTAGGCCAGGTGTTCATATAATTTACTTGTAACTTCTGGACCTGTTCCAGCCCAATTTTGTGCATGTGTTTCCATTAAATGCTAAGAATGCTGCATGCTGAGTGCTGCTGCTCATAGAGGGTCTCCTTTCACCAAGGCTGCTCACACCCAACTCTATGATTTGGAGGAGCAGATGAAACCTAGTGTATCAATTTTCTATTGCCATAAATTGGTACAAATGCAGTGGCTTAAAACACCTATTTACTAGCTCACAGTTTCTGTAGGTCAGAAACTGGGTAGCAGCATAACTGAGTTCTCTGCCCAGGGTCTCACCAGGCTGAAATCAATGTGTTGGCCAAAACAGCAATCTCATCTGAGGCTCAAGGTCCTCTTCCAGGTTCATACAGGTTGTTGGCAGAATTCAGTTCCTTACAATTGTAGGAATGAAGTCCTGTTTTCTTGCTGGCTGCCAGTTGGAACTCACTCTTAACTCCCGCTCTTGTCCTAGCCACGTGGCCTTCTCAACACAGGCAACTTCTTCTTCAAAGCCAGGACAATCTCCAGTCTGCTATGATAGTTTTATATAATGTAATTGTAGAACTGACTGTCCCATCATATTTAGACACAAGGGGAGGGAAGTCTATGGCCATGTACGCCAGGGGGCGGGCTCTTGGGGCCATGTTAGAATTCTGACTGCACACCTGGTTTATGACGTGCACTTGTATCATCATACAGCAGGAAACGGATAGTACATTCAAACTAAGACAATTTAAGGAGACTTAATAAAGGAACTAATAAAAAGATTTGACAGGAAATGGGGAACGAGGGGTAGCGCGGTACCTAGAGAGCGCCCTTACCATTAAGCCTGGAGGGGTGCGGGGATGGGACAGTTGGTGGACCCTGGGAAGAGAGAGTGCCGTAGAGAAGTCAGCTGTGACTCCCATCAAGGGACAGCCTACAGGAAGGGCGCTGGGAGCAGAAAGACTCTCTCTCCCCCACCCTCCAGTCTCCTGCTATGGCTCCTCAATGCTGAGCCTAACCAGAAGCCAGAGAGCCCCAAAGCCCCTTGATGCACTCCCCACAGGTCAGCCTCCTGGGGCACAGAGCAAGGGAGGAGAAGGGAGAGAAATTAGGGGCAGGGGTGGGTGCGCAACAGGAAGACATCTAGCCAGCGGCTCGGGACACAGCTGTTGGGCGTCCCATGGCCATAGAGGTCGGTCTCTACCAGGGCCAGTAGCCAGACTCAGCTGCCTTTCTAATGCGGAAGAGCAGCTGATGAGTAGAGCATCAGGGCTCCAAGGCAGAGGGCTCTGTGCTGTGACACTGGGGGCACGTCACTCCCACCTGCCACCCAACCTGCCTAAGACATTCCACGCTCCCTTGGATCTGCTGGGTCACAAGGTCTGTGTGTCAGGGCAGCTCGCACTGTAGCCAGACCTAATGCACAGCCCTTTCTTACTTGGAGCCCCTCCAAAACTGGCAGCCTCACCAGTTTCCCAGGAAGTAGGTCAGAGCCGCACTCCCAGGTGTGGTGTACGCATCCTCGGAAATCCAGAGGTCCTGCCAGCACCATGCCTCTTATCTACTGGCAGATGGTACAAGGTATAGCCATGTACCTTTCAGAGGAGAATTCCAAATTCTGTTACCTCCTGCCTGCTGGTCTCCTACTGGAAGCCAGAGAGTGCAGGAGCCCAGGAGATGCTGTCTGTGGGGGTCAGCCCCCTGCACACGGAGCAGGGTGGAGGCTGCATCTGCTTGTGACCTGCAGAGGGAGAGTAACCACCCCCACACGACACGCATCAGGTCAGTCCCCTGCCCCCAACCCACCAATGGCCTCTACTGCTCTTCAAATAACCCCCTGACCCTTGGCCTGGGCCTTGAGATTTGGAGCCATCTGGCCCCCACCAGGTTGGTACATGAGAGACACTCATCATTGGTCCAGGACACCTTCACTTGTTTGTTTGTTTGTTTTTAATAATGTGATAAGCACCCATGAATCCATTGCTCCAGACAAAAATCCAGGCCCGGACAGTATCTGACCTCCAGCCAGCGGACCCCCATTGACTCTCACCTCTCCGGCCTCAGCAGCCAGAACCCGGAATCCCTTTGCCTCCTGCACTTGCTTTGCTTGTTGGATTTCATTGCATCCATGTGTATGCCTAGATGGTCTTTTGAACAGCTGTTTTAGGATGTAGTCTTTGGGGCGAGGCTTCCTCACTGAATATGACGTTGCTCACATTCACCCATGGTGTGGTGTTGTGTGCTGCTGCCTTCTCTGCTACAGGGTACTCTGGGGGCATCCTGGGGTTCTCGTGCTCTTCCTCTGGCATGTGGGCATGCAGGTTACGCTGCGGGGAGCAGGGCTGCTGTGGATGTCACTGCCCAGGTCCTTGTTGGTCCACCTCTCCCCACACCTGCTACTCCCCTTCCTTTCTCTCACCCCCCGCATGCCAGCCACACTGGCCTTTCTCCATTCCTTTGAGCTCGTCCCCACCTTGGGCCTTTGCTCCTACCGTTTCCTCTCCCAGGAATGCTCTCCTTGCCTGGCTCGTCCTCATTCTGGTTCAGCTTGATGGCATCTTCTCAGATGCCTGCCCCAACCCACTGGGCTCTGTAGCCCTCCCCTCCAAACATCTGTCCCCTTGAGGGCAAAGTATTCCTGGGGGGCTAAGGGAGGGACTCCAGCAGATGTGGCTGGAGCACAGGGTGAGAGGGTGGGGCAAGAGATGCGCTGGAAGCGGTTGGAGAACAGATGCCGGAAGGGCCTTGAATGTCATGCCAAGCAGGTCCGAACACGCCCCAGGCTTCAAAGTGTGTTAGGATCCAAGCCCCAGAGGAGGCCTCCGGCAGCCAGAGCACTCCCCTAGGCCCTTGAGGAAGGGCAGCTACTACATGTGCTTCAATATGAGGCAAGAGGTTCTCCCCAAATATGGCCCTCAGAAAAGAGGGGGTTGCTCGTTTTGAGTCTATATAGTTTCACAGTTTTTAGGGGGCACTTGTTACTTTATTTTGAAAATCAAAGTTGTGGCTGGAGAATGCACGTTAGATTAAAACATCCTCAGCTGTTATGGATGCTCCTGAGGGCTACCTGCAAAAGTGGTGGAAGGAGGATGTGGAGAACCTTCTTACTAACAGGCACCATCCAGAGCGGTGTGACCCGGGAAAGGTGACAGTGCCTGAGGCCACTCAGCCAGGCTGCGTTCTTTGAAGCATGGGGGCTACACAGCGCAGGTTCATCCTCCTTGTTTTCAGAAGGGGAAACCAAGGCCTGGGGAGGTGAGTGACTTCCCGAGGAGCAGAGCCAGGCCTGGAATGCAGCATCTCTGCCTCCAAGCGCTTCCAGCTTTTTCAGTGTAAATGCAGGGCAACGCGAAGGGCACAAGGGACACAGACCTTTCTGCTTTCTTGGCCTTGGTGGCATAGATGATGCTGTTGTGGGGAGCATCAGCTTTGCAGCCAGGAGACCTGAGTTCTAATTCGCAGCTTCTTCCCGACCCAGCTGTGTGACCTCAGGCAAGTTACCTCCCCTTCTCTAAGCTGGCTTCTCTGCGAGTGGAATGATAGCAGTGCCCTTTCCTGGGCTGCTGTGAGGCTGCAGCCTCTGCAGAGGTGGGAGGGGGTCAGGCCCGTGAGTGTGGGAGCCAGGGGTGTGAAGGGGACACCAGGGTGGGGTAGGGGAGCTGTGTCCTCTCTCTGAAGTGGCCAATGGGGCAGCTAGGATGTGGCCCTGCTCAAGGGGGCCCAGGTGCAGCAGAGCAGGGGCAGGAGGGGCCTGGGTGGCCATTCAGCTGCACTCACAGCCCTGTGCCCAGCAGGTCCAATGGTTCTCACCATGGGAACATGTGTTTGCCACCACAGGCCTTGGATATCCTGTAAAACTCACAATTTGTTCAAAAGAATAAAGAGCATGAAAGGGGCTGCCCGGCCTTCATCCAGGGCTGGCAGTGGTGGGAACGGCCCCGAGGCTGCTTTCCATTTAAACAAGATTTGGAGGCGTCTGTTCTGTCAGAGCTCTGGGTCGGGAAGCCCTCCCCGGCACAGATCGTGTGCTCGACTCAGGCTTTGGATGGAGGACATAGGACCTCACTTCCCCATCTGTAAACAAGGGTAACGATGGGGTTATGACATGTGATAAAGGATGAATGTATGCAAAGTGCTTAGGCCTCAGTGGGAGAGCAGGTGCTGGGAAGGGTTATCGTTATTTCTATAGGAGACAGATGTGTGCAGACTGACCCCCGAGGAGCAGCACTGAGATTCAGGGAGACTGGGTCTGGGGGACATGGGAGGACCCTGATCTGCTGGAAGAGGCAGGGAAGCTTTCCTTGGTGGAAACAAGGGACAGGGTAGACAGAGGTGGGTCCCAGCAGAAAAAGTGGCATGTGTAAAGGCTCTCAGGCGGGAACAAGGTTTTCATATTTGAGGAGCTAATAGAAACTCCCCAGGGCTGAGAGGCAGGGGCCAGGTCGCACGGGATCATGCCTTAGAGGCTACCAGCCTGGGCATCAGTGAATGCTTCCCAAAAAGTGACACACGGGCTTGGTGTCAAGGAGCAAGAAGGCATTAGTATTGTACAGAAGGGTGTCCCAGGCAGAAGGAACAGCATCTTCGGAGGCCTGGAGTCCAGGGAGCGCAGGCACAGTGTATGGTGAGGCCATGCCGGGCCTGGGCCGGGCCAGCTCCCATCCCTGTCTGTTGGTCAGGAGGACGCAGTTTCACTTTGTCCCACTCGCCTCTACCTCCGGGAGACTCAGCACACCCAGTGTATGCAGCCAGCTAACAGGGATGAGATGTGCTGTCTGCTGAGCTGGCTCTGGAGACCCAGGTGCCATTTGGAGCCTGTGAGACCCCTTCTTAGGGGAGTCTCAGCCAAGAATCAGGACAGCACCCGGATCTCTGGCCTAAGTGGGTGATGTGCTGAGATGGGAAAGTAGGAGAAGGGTTTTGGGGTGCTGAGCAGGAATGTCTGTGAGAAGCTGCAGAAGGGGTGGGGGGCAGCTTCCTGGGGCTGAGCTCAGGAGGGCACCCTGCACTGGGGATGGAGAGCGGATGCTGTCCGCGCAGATGTGGTGTGCAGTCCTAAGGGGCAGGGTGCCTGCGGACAGGGACGGAAGCCTGAAAAGGAGGCAGCCGGGGGATGGAAAGAAAGCCGGGACAGGCGGGAGAGGCCTGGGTTCCGAGTAGTGGGCTGAGAGTGGCACTAAAGAGAACAAGAAGGGTATTGGAGTGATCGTGAGGTGGTAAGAGACAAGTGAGTGTCAACACATCCTTTACAAATTAGGCTATCACCAGGAGGACAGAAATAGGGAGGAAGAGACGAGGGAAGGGGTCTGTGGGGGCCAGCGGGGATCAGCAGCCTCCAAGGTTCTTTGGGTTCCAATCTTCCCTGACGACTTGGTTTATTTATGGCCAGGGGCTTGTGGGGAAGGCAAAGGAGTGGCCGCGAGGGGGCGCCAGGACCTAGCCCAAGCCCTCCTCCAAGCGGAGACTGGGACGCTCTCGTCTTTACTCAATGTGTTTCCAAGGGGATGTGAGCTGCGATGACAATTTTGAGTTTCCATGAAGCAGGGTCTCTCCTGTCCTCCATCAGAGACTTGCGGCCAGTCCTGCCAGTGCCCTCTAGGCCCCCATTTCCGTTGGTCCGTGGTGGTGCCCTCCTCACCCAGGTGGTGTGGAAGTGGAGGGGTGGATGGGAGGCACGGGCTGAGAGAGGGCCCACGGGGCCTATGCCTCCCTGCCCGGCCCCACCCATGCCCCGTGGGGCCCCGTGAGTGCTCTTGCCTGTAAGGACGCCTCCCAGCTCCGAGGATATTTATTCACCAGCCCGACCTCCACAAGCACGTGGGAAGTCACCAGGACTATGTTGGTGAGGAAACTGAGGCACAGGCCACTGCATGCTTTCACGCTCACCTGCCTGAAAATCCCCGCTGCAGGGAAGGCTGCACTCTGGGCTCTGGGGCTAGGGTGGGCTGTTTCTTCTCTATTTGCTGCGAGTACCCAGTCAGAAACCACACGGGACCAGGGTTAGGAGCTGCAGATACACAAACCAGCCCAGTAGAAGGCGGTCTCCTCACAGAAAGAGCACTGAGTCCAAATGCAGCCCTGGTGCAGGGGCTTCCAATGTTAGATGCTCTGTGGGGAGGCCAGGAATCTGCATTTGGAGTACTTGCCCCAAGTGGATCTGAAGGCAGGGTTGGGTGTGAGACAACCCTATGAGAAGCCACTCTATAGATGAAGGTAGCTTGTTAAGGGCACGAGGCTGGACTGCTGCTGCCGAGCCCCAAAGTCACATTTATCCCTTTCTTCCTTTGTTTAACAGGCATCAACCCATGGGGGGCCCTTGCTGTGCCCAGGGTGCTCAGAGAGAATTTACAACCAGTCCAGCCTCCGAGAGACTCGCAGGCTAGAGGGGAGACACTCACCTACAGCAAGCAATGAGTGCAATGTGATCATTGCACCTGGGAAGCTTGAAGGAAGAGTGCTCCGGACAGAAGGAACAGCACGGACAAAGGCCTGGAAGCAAGAGGCAAGGCTGAAAAGAGCAGGGCCAGGGAGAAGGCTGAGTGACAGGAGGAGGGCCAGGGCTCAGGTACAGAGGGGCAGAGCCCTCACCAAGGCCTTTGAACCTTAAACTGGGGCTGGGAGAGCCTGGGCGTGTCTCACACCGCTCTGCAACTGTCCTTTTACTTGAAAGTCTCCCACCATCCTGAGGACTCCCATGGCTGGTGAACTCTGTGAACCCACTCCTGGCAGGAGCCCTGGCACCCCCCGAACACCACACTCTAGTGTCAAGCTGTCCCCACTGGAATGCAGGTTGGGAAGGAGGCAATGGAGTGGGGTGGGTGGGAGCTGAGGTTGCAAAATTTGGTGGAAATGGGTGGGGATGGAGGCAGTGGGGAAGGGGAGGCGGTGGGGAAGGGGAGGCGGGGAGCTGCTGATTTGTTTTAGAGCAAGAGGCTCTGGGCTGCTTTCTAAGCTGCAGCATCAAAGGCTGCCTGGAAACATGTACAGAATAAGGTGGAATATTATGGAAATTGTCCTCCCTGCTTTGTGGCCTGGGAATTCATGATGATTGAGAAGAATTTCCCCTGGTCTCATATTTATCCCTCTCTTTGAAAGTAAAGCTTTTGGATCAAATAAATAAAAATTATGGTCATACATTTCTTCTGAACTCAGCTGACTTCACCAGCCATACTGTAAATGGATGGAACTTTTTAAAAGCTGTTCTTCCAGGGTTGGAGGGTCAAGCGGACTTGCCTCTTGAGAGTCAGCGTGGTAAGGTTCCAGTGTTCATCCTTCCTGCCATCATGCTTCTGGTCACTGGCACCAAGAGTGACCTGGCAGTGGAGGGCTCTGGCACCATCCTGACGTGGCCACGCCAGGGTCTTGTGCGAGTCCCTTAGACTTGTTGAGCCTCCGTGTCTTCTCTGCCAGGATGGATTAATTATACCTACTGATCATTCATGTTTATTTTTCCTAAAGTAATATAAACACATTGTTTCAAAAAATCTAATGGAACTATTGGCCAAGAAAGAAAACCAACAGTCCTCAAATTATCCCCATCTCAACCAGTTCCAACCCAGTTCCACTTTCCAGAGGCAGCTGCTCAAGTCCTCAAGCTGCTTCTGTCTTCCCTTTCATACCTCAGTCCAGCATGTTAAAAACGCTGTTTCCCCCGTCTCTACTAAAAATATAAAAAATAGTGAGGTGTGGTGGCGGGCGCCTGTAGTCCCAGCTACTCAGGAGGCTGAGGCAGGAGAATGGCGTGAACCCGGGAGGCAGAGCTTGCAGTGAGCCGAGATTGCGCCACTGCACTCCAGCCTGGGCAACAGAGTGAGACTCCGTCTAAAACAAACAAACAAAAAATCGCTGTTTCTCGCTCCTCCGAGAGACATTTCTATGGGCTTCCTGGGCAGGGCAGTGGGAACCTGCCTTTCTCCCGACGCTCCCACACTTCCTCTTCCCCAGCTCCTGGTAGTCAGAGCACATACGTTTTCACTAAATCGATATTCTGGATTTATGTTGTCATGATTATGTAAATATTTACTAATCCAAGTACTGTAATCTGATTAGTTTCTTTTCCTCATGCTTTTACCGTTTTCTGGAATTAATAATTGCCTGTTTTCTCACTGGCCTAGCTGTCTACGTTTCTATTGCTAATTCTTCCCCAGACCTTCTAATAGCGACGTCCAGCACCTCTCACATCACTCTCATACCCACCAATGCATCCAAGCATCTGGCTCTGCTAGCCCTGGACCAGCCCTCCACTTCCTACAACCCAGCTGTCCACTTGGACTCTGCTTGCCACTCTCCTGCACTGGGATCCTTGTTTGCAAGAGGTCTTGGCTTATTCCCTCAGTTTAGGAGAGCTTTCCTCTGATAACTTTTTGAAAAAAAATTTAGAAAATACTTCTTTTTGGCAGTGCGCGGTGGCTAATACCCATAATCCCAGTACTTTGGGAGGCCAGGCGAGTGGATCACTTGAGCTCAGCAATTTGAGACCAGCTTGGGCAGCATGGTGAAACCCTGTCTCTAAAAAAACAAAACAAAACAAAAATTGTGTGGTGGTGCACGCCTGTAGTCCCAGCTACTGGGGAGGCCAAGGTGGGAGGTTCATGAGCCTGGGAGGTGGAGGCTGCAGTGAGCCGAGATCACACCACTGCACTCCAGCCTGGGTGACAGAGTAAGACCCTGTCTCAAAAAAAAAAAAAGAAAACAATTTTTTTTTGTAGTTTTCGCACGTCTGAAAATTCCTTATTCTATGCTCACCCTTGATTAATAGTTCAGCTGGGCATAGAATCCTGGATTAAAAATTGCTTTCATTGAAAAATTTTAAGTCTTTTGCTCTACAGTTTTCTATCTCCCAGTGTTGCTTTGAGAAATGTGATGAGATACTGTTTCATATTTTTGTAAGAGGCTTTCTTTTTTTCCTCCTCCTTCTCCTTTTAGGATCCCTCCTTCATCCCTGCTCTTCAGAACTTTTCGAATGCCATGTCTTGGCACGGGCCCTTTTAATCTGTAGCACTGGGCACTCAGTGAGCCCTGTCAAGCTGGTGGCTTATATCCCTTGGTCTTCAACATTTTTCTTCTGTTGCTTCTTTGATAACGTTCTTTCCTCCATGTTCTCTTTTCCCCCTTTCCGGAACTTTTTTTTTTTTGAAATGGAGTCTTGCTCTGTCACCCAGGCTGGAGTGCAGTGGCATGATCTTGGCTCACTGCAAGCTCCATCTCCCAGGTTCAAGCGATTCTCCTACCTCAGCCTCTCAAGTAGCTAGGATTACAGGTGTCCGCCACCAAGCCTGGCTAATTTTTGTATTTTTAGTAGAGATGGGGCTTTACCATCTTGGCAAGGCTGGTCTTGAACTCCTGACCTCGTGATCCACCCACCTTGGCCTCCCAAAGTGCTGGGATTACAGGTGCGAGCCACTGCGCCCAGCCGGGAATTTTTATTGGTCAGATACCAACTTCCTGGATTGATATTCAAACCTTCTCATTAATTTTTCCCTATTTTTCATTTATGTGCTTACTCTCTTACCTTCAAACTTTCTATCAGAGCTTTAATTTTGGTTATCTTTTCTGTTTGTTGGTTTTGGTTTTTTTCTGCTGCCTGCATTATCTCTGTTTCCCCCAGCTTTTGTTTGTTTGTTTGTTCCTGGTGATCCTTGGTAGATGACTGGTATAAGAGTGAGGCACTAAAAAGCCAATGGGAAGCTCTGTGAGCCTGATTGGACGGGTGAGGCTTGTTGACTATGAGCTTCACTGGGGTGACCTAGGGGCAAGTCAGCTTCTTGGGGTGGGCTCAAAATGCCCATTTCTAGAGGCCAGTTTTTCCAGAGAAGCATCTCCACCTTCCTGTCCAAATAGCCACTTGGTGTTTCTGCATCAGAATCCCCTCTGGTCCAGTTTCTGTGAAGGATAAACCATCATCTACTGGTCTTCTGGGAGTGGGATGTGAGTGGCGGAGGGAGGACTAGCTGCTTGGTTTTCGGGGGGCCCCAGGGAGTCTAATAGCTCCTACACTGACTGTCAACCAACCCAGTCCCCTCTTTTTACTCCACCCTGTCTCCCACCTTCCTCAGGACTTGGTGCCTCTGAGTCCTGGGTGTTTCTGGGCTCTGTGGGAGACCCTGCCCATGTCTGGCAGTGCCCCTCGGCAGTCTCCAGCTGCTTCTGCCACCAGCCCAGGCTCCACTTCCTGCTGGCTCCCATCTCCCATCAGCGCCTCTCCTGTTCTGACAGCTCCTTTTATTTCTTTATCATCACCTTAATGGGGTTTAGAAGGAGATGAGATAAACACTTATGTCCAGTCTGTCTCTGCCATTTCAGTTACACTTTGCTCACATCAGGCAATCTGGGGAAGCCAAAGAAACATCATCATTATTATAACAGCTAATATTTATCCAGCACATTCTCTATTCCAAGAGCCCCGTTAAGCATGTTACAATGTATTATCTCATGGGATTCTTACTATCACACTAGGAAGGAAGTTACAGATGTGGAATGGGCTCAGAGATGGGGGTGACTTGTCCAGGGGCACCCTACGAGCCCATCCAGACCTCTCTGCAGGAGTCAGCCCCCTGGGCAGTCGTGGTACACTGACCTCTCCAGCCTCCCTCTTGCCCTCCCCCAACCCTGCTCCACTGGCCCGAACTACCCTGTGTTCTGCTCACCAGGGCTCACCCTCTCATTTCCACACTTTTGCATGGGCTGTTCCCCTGGAAAAGGAGCAAAACATGTTGGGAGAGAGCGTGCCTGTGAAACAAAAATGAGCCAGGCTCCCGGGCTGTGGCGGAAGCCCCCACTCACCTTCTATCCTCCCTGGCGTCTGTGGGAGCACCTTTCCAAGGTGGCCTCTTCCTTCAGTGGTTTTGATCTGCAGAAAAGGTTCGCTTCCGCCTGTGCCTGGAATGCACACTCTTCCTGGCCACTCCTGTTTCACTTGAGAAGGGTGGCTTTCCTCTCATTAGTGCCTCACCTGTTCGTAGTTATGTATCTCTGAGGTGACAACTGGCCAAGCAAGGGACAGGGTTGCATCCTGATGAGAACTGCAGTGCCAGTAGAGAAAATGATAGATTAGTCATCTGCTGCCACCACCAAGATAGTCACTTATTTAGACTGCTTGGATTCTATCATCATTAAGAAGGCCAGGCATGGTGGCTTACGCCTGTAATCCTAGCACTCCAGGAGATAAAGGTGGGCATATTACTTTGAGCCCAGGAGTTCAAGACCAGCTTGGGCAACATGGCGAAACCCTGTCTCTACAAAAAAATACAAAAATTAGCCAGATGGCACATGCCTGTAGTCCCAGCTACTCAGGAGGCTGAGACTGGAGAACCACTTGAGTCTAGGAGGTGGAGGTTGCAATGAGCCAAGATTGTGCCACTGCACTCCAGCCCAGGTGACAAAGCGAGACTCTGTTTCAAAAAAATAAAAATAAAAAAATTTGGGCCGGGCACGGTGGCTCACGCCTGTAATCCCATCACTTTGGGAGGCCGAGGCAGGTGGATCACCTGAGGTCAGGAGTTTGAGACCAGCCTGACCAACATGGTGAAACCCTGTCTCTACTAAAAATACAAAATTAGCATGCTTGTAGTCTTAGCTATGTGGGAGGCTGAGGCAGGAGAATTGCTTGAACCTGGGAGGTGGAGGTTGCAGTGAGCCAAGATTGCGCCATTGCACTCCAGCCTGGGCAACGAGAGTGAAACTCCATCTCCAAAAAAAAAAGAAGTTTGTAAGCAACAATTCAGCCTACAGACTCTTTTTAAAAACTAATGTGGCTGGGCACTGTGGCTCATGCCTGTAATCCCAGCACTTTGGGAGGCTGAGGCAGGCAGATTACTTGAGGTCAGGAGTTTGAAACCAGCCCACCCAACATGGTGAAACCCTGTCTCTACTAAAAATACAAAAATTAGTTGGGCATGATGGTGTGTGCCTGTAGTCCCAGCTACTCTGGAGGCTGAGGCAGGAGAATTGCTTGAACCCAGGAGGCAGAGGTTGCAGTGAGCCGAGATTGTGCCAATGCACTCCATTGTGGGCAACAGAGTGAGACTCCATCTCTAAAAATAAAAATAAAAATAAATAATAATAATGGCTTTGGCCAGGCGCGGTGGCTCATGCCTGTAATCCTACCATGTTGGGAGGCCAAGGTGGGCGGATGACTTGAGGTCAGGAGTTCAAGACCAGCCTGGGCCAACATGATGAAACCGTGTCTCTGCTAAAAATACAAAAAATTGGCCGGGTGCAGTGGTGAGCGCCTGTAATCGCAACTACTCTGGAGGCTGAGGCATGAGAATGGCTTGAACCTGGTAGGCAGAGGTTGCAATGACCCAAGATCATGCCACTGCACTCCAGCCTGGGTGACAGAGTGAGACTCTGTCTCCAAAAAGATAAAAAATAGAATAATAATAATAATGGCTTTATTGAGATATAATTTGCATGCCATAAAATTCATCCATCTAAAATATACAATTTGATGGTTTTGGCTATATTTACAGAATTATGCAACTTCATCACAACCAATTTTAGATCATTTTCATCATCCCCCCAAAAAAACCCCATGCCTATTAGCAATTACTCACCATTTCCCTCAAGCCACCATTCCTGGGCCACAAGGAATCTGCTTTCTGTCACTATAGATTTGCCTGTTCAGATTCTTCATATAAAAGGAGTCGTACAGTATGTGGCCTTTTGAGACTGGCTTTTTCCAGTGAGCATAACGTCTCCCAGGCTCATCCGTGCCGTAGCACGTGTCAGTGCTTCGTGTCTTTTCCTTACCGCATAATATTCCGTTGAGCGGATAGACCACATTTTGTTTATTCATCTGTTGATGAAGATTTGGATTGTTTCCACCTTTTGGCTATTATGAATTGTGCTACTTTAAACATTTGTATACAAGAGTTGGTGTGAACATATGTTTTAATTCCTCTTGGGTTTTTTATTCCACCTAAGAATAGAATGGCTGGGTCATATGGTAACTGTATTTAACTTTCTTTAGGAGCTGCCAAGTTATTTTCTACCACAGCGCAGAGAATTTACA